>NC_000012.12:72308612-72460128 GCF_000001405.40 Homo sapiens | reverse complement strand
TAAGGACGGTTTTGTATAGCAAAAACGGAGATAGTAGGCTCTCCAGAGCAAAAGGCATACATACTATCACTTATAAAAGAACCACATTCCCTAGGGTCAGGTATATTCACCTATCATATAATCCACTGCATGTGCAGGTATCAGCTGGACCTGTGTGTGTCACTCTTGGGAATTAGGGCTCTGGGAACTGGCACAAAAAATTGATGATACCAGCAGGACACAGTGGCTCATACCTGTAATCCCAGTACATTGAGAAGCCGAGGCAACAGGATCACCTGATCCCAGGAGTTCAAGACCAGTCTGGGCAACATAGTCAGACATTGTTCCTGCTAAAATAACAAATTAGCTGGGCATGGTGGTGCAAACCTGTAGTCCTAGCTACTTTGGAGGCTGAGGTTGGAGGATTGCTTGAGCCCAGGAGGTCGAGGCTGCAGTGAGCTATAATGTCACTGCACTCCAGCCTAGGCAACAGAGTGAGACCCTGTCTCTAAAAGAATAAAAAAAATGCTTATACTCTAGCTACTACTGTAGCTAGAACAATAATGTCTTTTATTTCTAATCCAAGAGTTTCATGACTTCTGCCAGCATTCACGAAACAGTGGTGGTCTGACTAGTTGATATTACAAGTAGGATAAGGTAAAACCTTAGACTCCTAACAGTTCTTGACAACTGTATGAATTAATATATGTGGCGTGCTTAGAACAGTACCTAGCAAGTGTTAAGTTATTAATAACTGTTAGCTATTGTGGATAAAAGATGTCCAGGTCCTCATTCCTGGAACCTGTGACTATATTAGGTTACTTGGCAAAGGGGAATTAAGGTTGCACACAGAATTAAGATTGCTAATCAGCTGAAATTAAGATGGGAAGAATATCCTGGATTATACAGGTGGACCCAATATCATCACAAGTGTCTTAAAAAGTGAAAGCAGGAGATGGGAGGAGAGTCAGTGTCAGATTGAGGAAATGTTAGAAAGATTCTACCAGGCATTGCTGGCTTTGAAGATAGAAGGGGACCATGAGCTGAGGAGTGCAGTCTCTAAAAACTGGAATAGTTCAGAAAATGTAGTGATTTTCCCCTAAAGCCTCCAGTGAGAGTAGTGTCAGACTTTCAGCCTACATAATTGTAAGATAATAAATTTGTGTTGTGTTAAGCCACTAATTAAGTGCTAATTTATTATCGCATCAATAGGGAACTAATACAGTTATTATCATCATCATCATTACCTTTATAATTATTACCATTATTCTGTAAAAGAAGTCTCTAATATTGACATAAGAATGAGAAAAAGCTTCCTTAGAGAATGCCAATTATGGGATCTGTTGAGTCAATAGTGGGTAGCCAGAGGGGAAGTGTATTTCAGGTTAAGGAGGTAGCATAGGCAAAGAAGAGACAACACAATACTTTCAGTAATCAAAAAAACTAGATCAATATGACTGAAGCACACACTGACAAATCCTGCTTTGGACATACTGAGTTTGAGTCACCCCTAGAACATCCAAATAGAGATATCTACTAAGAGGCTGAATGTAGAAGTCTGATGCATTGGGGAGAGGCTGGGGTCGGGGAAAAGATTTAAGAAGTCATCAACACATAGATGGGAGGAGACCATGACCAATGCTGAGTAGAGAAGAGGGCTAAGACAGACGTCTGAGGAGCACTGAGATTTAAGAGACAGGCAGAGGACGAAGGCAACTGGGGTGGGGCCCACAAAGCATACTGACAAGATGCTGTCATGAAAAGGGGAAAGAAAATCAGGAAAGTGTGACATCGCATCATTTAAGAGTAGTGATCCATCCACAGGGGAGGGAAGAGTTGACAGTGTCTATGAATATCTTAGGTATATTTATAAAACACCGGCAATATATAATCAAGTAGTTGAATTTTAATTAACGGTTTCAAAGAATACTAGTTGCTCATTCAATATTGTTTTCAGCAGGTTTCCCAAATAAATTGTAAAATATTTTACACAGATATAACACCAAATCGAATCACATATATTAGCACCATCACCTGAAGGGAGGGTAAAACCAATGCTCTGTTAGGGGTTCTCATAATCGGCTCTTTAATGAGTGTCAGTTGCTGAGTGGGCCCATCCCACAGCATGGAACTCAGGAGTCTCTCCTATTTTCAAAGTCTGAGGTAGCTGGAAATCAATTTAGCGGTTTGAATAGCTCTTTGACACTCTTTAATTGACAGATTCACATTTCCAGTAGAAGGGAGTATGAAAACAATACTATTTATAAATGACCATTCCTAACTCTTGAAATTTGCAGTTGTTAGTAAAACATATTTCCAAATTCTTATGTACTTTAGACAGTGTGAGTATGAAGTGGTTACCTTTAAAAGAAATTATTTATGTAGGCTTGGCAAAGTGAAAACAAAGATGTATTGTGCCTTAAGGCCAGTTCCTCTTAGCATAAGCTGTACTAGTAGTTCACACAACATTCAATAAAAAATGCAAACATATAATCCAAAGGAACCAAATGTTTGGTTCTTAGTCTAAAACTGTATAGCATTAATTTCAAACAAAATCAAATACTTGTTGAAGCCCCTGAGGAAAAAAAAAACGCCGATACCCAAAGGTTGCTTAATTTTTTAAATCACTTATTGCAGTGCGTAGTATTACTTAATATTAACTGGCATCTAAACAATGAATGGATTATCAGAGAGCTAGTTGTATAAACAGGAGATACTGAAATTCACTGTGAATTTTATAGATTCCTAGGAACAACTGAGAGTGCTTGGCGTAATGAGGGCAGAGAGAAAAAAGAAGAACAGATAATTTAAAAACAGCACAATTACAGAAATGGAAAATATGATGACATAGTGTTACTTTACTACATTTTAACACTAAGATGAAGCTAATTTGCCTTTAAGGGAACTAAAAATAGAACCTTATCAATTTAGTCCTCGGCCTGCATACTACTAAAATACTTTATCTTTTTTATATTCCAAACCTATAGACTTTCCGTTCGAAATACCATCAAGTCATTCAATGTCATGAAGAAAAATGAATGCCATGCCCCATTCAGGTTGAATTATGTATCAGCTGGGAGGCATTGATCAAATTATGAACCATGTCTTTCATTACTGAAGGTACCTAATGCTTTGTTATAAATATCTTCTTGAGAGTTTAAAGAAAGTGGCTTTCCCAAATTTTTTCACAGAAGAGTTTCTGAGAGCTTCTATTCAATGATTTTTTTCAAAACCCATTACTAGTGTTCCAAATATTCCCTAGTTCAATTTACATTAGATCAAGAAATGAAATACAGAAAGAACTAATAATGAGGCAGATATTGAACTGAATCCTTTACCTCTCCAAGCTCCAGTATCTAATGTGAATCACTAAGTTATACTCCTAAATTGTATTTTATAAGGAGGAAAACACTTTGCACCCATAACGGGAAAATGCTGAGAAGAGATTTTTTTTTTGTACTAATCATAAAAATGTTTCTCCTAATGTAAATACTCAGGGAATTGACATAATAGAAAATTGCCAGGAGCCATTTTCCTACCACCACAGTTAATAGAGCATGAGGGTTCTTTAGCTCAAAACGACATGTAACTGATCACTACACTTGCAACAGGAGACTACCATGAAGAAAATGATAACCTTCCTCATTATTTGTTTTTTCTTGTCCTCCTAATATACTATGCAAATATTTTATTTGTGTCCTTGGAATCTGTTTAAATAGTTATTAAAATGAAAGCCAGTACTCTAATATACACATAACATGAAGTGCTATATTAAAATACAGAGGTCCAAGAGCACAAAAGTGTCTGCTCATGTTTTGCAGTAGCATTTGGAATATTCCAGTCCTGGATGGGGATGGAACCCTTACAGCCTGGCCACCTTTCCACCCTTCTAGCCTGACCAGGGAATGCCCCAAAATGAATGTGATGAAAGCTAACCAACTCAAGGAACATATGTCCAACTCTCTGAGTCTCTGTGTGTGTGTGTGTGTGTGTGTGTGTGTGTGTGTGTGTGTGTGTGTGTAATTACATATTATATTTATATAATATTTCTATTATATAAATATACATACTGAGTATATATGAGTGTATATACTGCATAATATTACATATATACACATCAGAAATCAAAATATATGTGTGTGAGTATACACATATATGTATAGGAAATATATATGTAGGATTAAGATTAGCCAAATTTTGGCAAACTCGTTGAATTCTATGAGTATATGATTCTAAATTCATACTGAAAGTAGACTCCTCTGTATCTACTCCTATATAACTCCAGGCAGACAGAAAGATTAAAACCAAGCTATACTTGTGGGTTCTGTCCCAAGAGGTCCAATTTAATAATAATAGCAAATAATACTTTCAAAAAATCATTTGTAAAGTCTCCAAATTAGCTAAGTAAATACAATACCTCTAACTTTTATTTCTGACACTTCTAACATCTCAGACTGTTTTAAACCTGACATACTGATCTCTACCACCCTAAAGGGGTCTAATAAGTTGTTGACTACTAGGTAAGTTTTCATATTTAATGTAATTTCCATCCCCAACACTTCCATTTGTTACTGGAAACATAAATCCATCCATTAAAGATTCTGCACTCAATTAAAAATAAATATAATGATATTTCAAGAAAAAATATTTCTACAGAAGATATAACATTATAAAATACATTAAATAACCAAAAGTTCTAAATTTACCTTTACAAAAAAAACTTTCAAAATCTTCAGCCTTGAATTATAAAATTATTTTTAAAGTTTACAACTACTAAACACTTGTATAAAGTATGCAGATTTTTGTACCAAATAACCAGTTGGTTGTTATCATTATATTACAAAGATATGCTGCATTTTCAGATCACATATAACATTTTTTTAATGGCAAAGAGTACCGGAGAAAGTTTTTACAAATTTTTCTGTAGTGATTATCTATTGATAAAATTTAGCACTTGGAAATATCAGAAATATTAAGCCTGAGAACATCAAAGACATTAAGTTTCTAAATTTGAGATCACCATTGACTCTGAGACTTTATTAAACAGTCATCTCTCCCTTCCTCCTTCCTGACCTTCTTATTCTATATTACTGGGTCTTAGACTAAAGGTGTAAAATATTGTGTTCAATGAATCATAAAGCATTCTCAGTGTTTGGGGAAGCCTAAGATCCATGAAGAGAAATGGCAGGAGGCAAGTTAGGATGGAAGCAAATAAATCTTGAAGGATATTGTATAGCTTTATGGGTTTTTACTCAAGTAGTGCAGGACCATGAACAATCTGTGTTTAGGGAGAAAACTATCACACTCTAGCCTTGTTACTCCAAGGTGTGGTTCATGAATCAACAGCACTGGCATCATCTGAGGATTTGTTAGAGCTGAAGAATCTCAGAACCTGCTCTAGACTAACTGAATCAGAATATGCATTTTAACAAGATCCTCAGACTACTTATATGTACATTAAAGTTTGGGAATCACAGACTTAGAGTAAGTCTTCCATGATGGGGTCCTTTCCCCTGAGTTTGCTTAAGACTATCCATGAAGATTGGCGAGTAAAATACAATGTTTATTTATATTTATTTTTGCCTGGTACAATAAGAAATAGATTAAGCTTTTTCAGTATTCAATGTAAGATATTCTCTTCTGTTCATGTATCAAGGTCCATGAACAGGGATTAATGGTTCCATAGATGTCATAATAGCACTGCCTTTCTCATTAGTTCACTTTCAAGGGAAAAGGACACATGACAGCACCTGAGCACCAACTTAAATCAATTTATAAATTATATTAGTTTAAACAATCTTCACAAAATAAATAGACAGCTTAAAAAGATTCCTGCAAAAAATATTAGATTGGAGTTAACATTTATAAATGTTTAGATCCCTCAACCATTATACTCCATTTTATCCCATTTTCATTATAAGGTAAAAACAAAGAGTTGATTACATATTTTTTTTAAAAAAAAACAAATTTATCAACAAGCATTTTTGCACTATTGATTTATACTACTCTTACAATGAACTTCACTCTACACGCATATGTGCCTTGAAATTTAGCTACTGAAAATCATAAGTATACTACTTCAAAAGTAGATAAATTCAGCTAAGTCAGAACAAGTGTACTCAAAAATATCTGGTAGTAGTGCAAAACTGAAAATGAAAAGGAGACTGTGACAAAAGGTATAAATTCTTGGAAGCTTTATGACACTGCCCATCACCTGAGAAACCCAAATACTTATCCTGGTCAACTTAGGAAAACTTGTGCACCCACAGGTTTAACACAACATGGTACCTGCCAAGGCTTATGGCTTACACCCTCTGAATCAGTGGTCTGAGCTGTACCCGGGCCCCTTTGAGCCACAGCTGGAAATGGAGCAGCTGGGATGCAGGAAGCAGTGTCCCAAGGCTGCCCAGGGCAACAGGGCTCTGAGCCTGGCTCAGGAAGCCATTCTGTCCTCCTAGGCCTCAGGGCCTGTGATGGGAGGGGCTGCTTCTTAGGTCTCTAAAATACTTTCAAGGCCTTTTCCTCATTGTTTTCTCTATTAGCTCTTGCCTTCTTTTTAGTTATGCAAATTTCTCTAGTAAGTGGTTGCTCAGCCGTCAGCTTGAATTTTTCTCCTGAAAATGGGCTTTTCTTTTCTTCCACATAGCCAGGCTGCAAATTTTCCAAAATTTACATTCTACTTCTCTTTTAAATATAAATTCCAACTTATTTCTTTGTTCCCACATCTGAGCTAGGCTATTAGAAGCAGCCATGTCACATCTTGAATACTGCTGCTTAGAAATTTATTTTGCCAGATACCCTAGGTAATCACTCTCAAGTTCAAACTTCCACATATCCCTAGGGCATTTACACAATCCAACCAAGTTCTTTGCTTAGGCAAAACATAAGTGACCTTTGTTCCAGCTCCCAATAAATCTGTCATTTCCATCTGAGACCTTCTCAGCCTGGATTTTACTGTTCCTATCACTATCAGCATTTTAGTCACAATTATTTACCCAGTCTCTTAAAAATTCCATACTTTCCTTCATCTTCCTGTCTTCTTCTGAGCCTCCAAACTCTTCAAATCTCTGCTGACTACTCAGTTCAAAAGCTGTTTCCATATTTGTCTGTATCTCTATAGCAATGCCCCACTGCTTAGTACCAATGATCTGTGTTAGGCTGTTCTCACATTGCTATAAAGAAATATTCAAGATGGGGTAATTTATGAAGAAAATGTTTAATTGCCTCATGGTTTCACAGGCTGTACAGGAATCATGATGCTGACCTCTGCTTGGCTTCTAGGGAAGCCTCAGGAAAATTACAATCATGGCAAAGGGGGAGTAGGCATGTACATGGCCAGAGCAGGAGCAAGAGAGTGAAGGGGGAGGGGGCACATGATTTTAAATGACCAGATCTCATGGGAACTCACTATTGTGAGAACAGTATCAAGAGGATGGTACTAAATGATCCATGAGAAGTCCACCCCCATGATCTAATCACCTCCCATCAGGCCCCATCTTCAACAGTGGGAATTAGATTTTGACATGAGATTTGGGCAGGAACTCACATCCAAACTATATTATCCATATATGAAAAACCCATAGCTAACATTATACTCAACAGCAATAATTTAAAAGCCTTTCCTCTGAAATCCAGAACAAGACAAGGATGCCCACACTTGTCACTTCCAGTAAACATAGTCCTGGAAGCCCTAGCTAGAGCAATTAGGCAAGAGAAGAAATAAAAATCATCCAAATGAGAAAAGAATTTCAACCGTTCTCATTTGCCAATGACACAATCTTACATATTGAAAACCTTGAAGACCCCACCAAAAAAACTACTGGAGCTAATAAATGAATTCAGTAAAGTTGCAGGATACAAAATTAATATACAGAAATCAGTAGTGTTTCTATATACTAACAAGAAACTATCAAAAGAATCAAATAAACTATCCTGTTTACAGTATCTACAAAAAAAAAACCTCAGGAATAAATATAACCAATAAGGCAGAATACCTGTATGATGAAAACTATAAAACCCTGACAAAAGAAACAGAAATCGCGCCTGTAATCCCAGCACTTTGGGAGGCCAATGCGGGCAGATCACTTGAGGCCAGGAGTTTGAGACCAGCCTGGCCGACATAGTGAAACCCTGTCTCTACTAAAAATACAAAAATTAGCTGGGCATGCTGGCACAGGCCTGTAGTCCCAGCTACTTGGGAGGCTGAGGCAGGAGAATTACTTGAACCCAGAAGTCAGAGGTTTCAGTAAGCCAAGATTGCACAACTGTGTTCCAGCTTGGCCAACAGAGCAAGATGCCATCTCGAAAAACAAAACAAAACAAACAAAAAGAAAGAAAAAAGAAAAGAAAAAGACACAAATAAATGGAAAGATATCAGTATTCATGTATTGAAAGAATTAATATTGTTAAAATATTGATAAATTACCCAAAGCAATCTATATATTCAATGTAATTCCTGTCAAATGACATTTTTTGCACAAACAGGAAAAAAAAGTGCCTAAAATTTATACAAAACCACAGAAGAGCCCAAATATCCAAACCAATTTTGAACAACAACAACAACAACAACAAAAAACAAAGCCAGAGGCATCACACTGCCTTAATTGAAAACATACTATAAAGCCATAGAAATAAAAACACCAAAGTGCTGGCATAAAAACAGACACATAGACCAATAGAACAAAATAGGGAGCCCAGAAATAAATCCTTGCATTTTTGGTCAATTGACTTTTGGCAAATGTGCCAAGAACACACAATAGAGAAAGGACAGTCCCTTCAATAAATGGTGCTGGAAAAGCTAAATATCCACATGCAGAATAATGAAATTAGACCCTGATCTCATACCATATACACAAGTCAATGCAAAATGGGTTAAAGATATAAACATAAGAACTGAAACTATAAAACCACTAGAAGAAAACAGAGGAGAAAAGCTCAATGGTACTGCTTTGGGCAATAATTTTTTTTGGATACAACCTCAAAAGCACAGGCAACAAAAAGCAAAACTAAACAAATCAGATTATATCAAACTAAAATACTTCTATGCAGCAAAGGAAACAATCAACAAAGTAAAGAACGGGAGAAAATATTTGCAAACTATATACCTGATGAAGGGTTAATATAAGAAAGTCAAACAACTCAATAGTGAAAACAAATAATTTGATTTTGAAATGAGCAAACCACTGCAATTGACAGTTCTCCAAAGAAGACATACAAATGGCCAAGAAGTATATGAAAAAAATGTCAACATCACTAATTATCAGGGAAATACAAATGAGAACCACAATGAGTTATCACCTCACACCTGTTAGAATGGCTACTACAGAAAAAACAAAAGATACTAAGTGCTGGAGAGGATGAGAAGAAAAGGGAATCCTTGCACACATTCCCTTGATGGGAATGTAAATTATTACAGCCATTATGAAAACCAGTGTAGAAGTTCCTAAATAAATTAAAAATAGAATTATCATATGATCCAGCAGTCCCTCTTATGGGTCTATCTCCAAAGGGAGTACAAAATTTCCGTCAGATAGGAGGAATAAGTTCAAGTTGTACAACATGGTGGCTATGGTTAATAGCAATGTACTATATTCTTGACAATTGGTAAGAGAGTAATAAGTATGTGAGGTAGGTAAAGCATGTGTTAATTAGCTTGACTTAGCCATTCCACGATGTATGCATATTTCAAAACATCATGTTGTACATGTTAAGGATATACAATTTTTATTTATCAATTATAATGGTTAATTAATAAATTGTAAAAATTAATGCCTGGTGTTCACTTCCACCGATTCTTAATTTTTCTAAGGTAGGACCTAGGCTTCTTCATTTGTTTAATGGCCCAAAAGTGAAATGAAGGTTGAAAATCACTGCTTTAGATGGGAGGAGAATAGAAGCAGATATTGTAGTAGTCTAAGTAAGAGATAATAGAATCCTATGTAAAATATAGAGGCATTTCAGAGGTATATCTGAATATAGTACATTGCTATTAACCATAGTCACCATGTTGTACAACTTGAACTTATTCCTCCTATCTGACTGATATTTTGTACTCTTTGGAGATATACCCAGAGGGATTTCAGAGGTGGAAACAGGCAGGACTTGGTAATTAACTAAATATTAAATTCAGATGAGAAACTCAACAAAGAAGCATAGACCACACTACCCAACTGAATGAATGGGGAAATGAATGGAATCATTGTATTCCATTAACCAAGATTGTGAATCCAGGAAACTAGAAGGAGAAAAGTGAGGAAGGAGAGGGAAAATAAGTGGAGAAAAAGGAGGTAATATTTTTATATTATAGAATAGAACAAAGTATGTTTTTGTAATGTTAACTTCAAAAATTCCATTTATTGCTAGTAAAGGAAAAGTAATAACAAAAGTTCCTTCCCATAACACCATGACTGTCTTTAAATCCTTTCCAATAGTTAAATCCTGGGCTGCCTAGCTTCAGAGTCCATATTTGCAATCTGAACTCTATGCTGCATCCTGTTGTATTTTTATGTTAATGGAAAAGGGGCTCAAAGGACCTACAATAAATCAAAAATAGTAGGGATTTGCACCCAGAGCTATGAGACACTGAAAAGAGCATGCCTAAGCCATCTATCTTTCTATTACTAAAAATGCAGTCTGAACTAAAGTCTATTGTTTTAAAAAGCTTTTTGAAGGAAAAAAAATAGTAGAGGCAGTGTGTACACAATGCCAGAAAAAAAAATTCAAAAATCAGATCACATGCACTTCTGCTATTACCTAGGTAAATACTAAATAAACAACATTTACAGGTTTATTATGGATTACCAGTGTTGATTTCCACAAATATTCAGTCCCCTGTCACGGCATTGTAGTATAAAAGGCAAGACTCTGTGTCAACTTGCTCTAAATTTCTTTGCTTTACTGCCAATGAGTTTATATAAAAATTTAGTTAGACCTCTATTTCAAACATAAATTTTTTGGCTACTGAAAGCCTGCATTCTTTAGTATGGTATATTATCTGGTGTCAATGAAAAACATCAAAATGTGCTCTGCCATAAACAAACACACCCCTTAAACCTTAGAGGAAAAGAGGAAGCTGGATAAGATGCAAACCATGCTCTGTTGACATGTTCAAATTAAGAAAATATATATGGCACAGTACCGACTGCTACAATATACAAATGTTTCATTTCCACTCTGACTGAATATAACAGCAGGTGGTAAAGTGGCATTACAAGCCAGTCACTTACACTTTAAGCCCAAAGGCAAAGGATCTATTATTTTTGCAGAGTTAGCTTAAGTTATTCCTTTGCGTCTTCCACACATACAAAAAAAAAAAGTAAAAATAAAAAATTTCCATTACCTCTAAAGGCAAACAAAATGACTAGTGATAATATGTCTCCTTTTCTTTCTTTCATTTTTTTTTCCTAAATTGCTTTCTGTAATGCTGTAGTTCAAATCATTGGGCTAACCTGTAATAGCATTTTACATACTCTAAGACACTTTAGAGATAGTAAGTTGTAATTCTTAATGTCACAATTCAGAACATAATACATAACGGACACAACTTTGAAAAATAGTTCTAAAATAGTCAAATGAATTCGGTATTAATATTTAACCTTCAAATAATTTTTCCAGAACACTACTACCATAAGTTTACCAATAGATTAGCTAATTAAAGTTTATTAACTGCTTAACACTGATACTAAATAAAACCAATGCTTATTTATCAAACAATTGTTACATAGTATGTTTTTCAGTTGAAGTAAATTTGTTTTATCATGAATTTATAGTGGTTTTGTTTGTTAAACTAAATAGAGCCTTATTGCTAGCCCAAATGAAGCCATTACACAATTTAGAAAAAGCCACCTCTTACGCAAGGCACTGTAATACCATCAACCAGAAAACAGTCTTAATAAATGCACAAATCTATGATGGCAACAAATGTGAATGGCAGCCTTCTAGAGTTGTGCAGTGCACAACTTAATCCATTAGGTTGTGTCAACAGAATTAGCAAGAAATGTTTCCTAATCCATAAAGCACAAAAATAGAATGCATTCTGCAAGGAGATAGTGAAACAGGCTTTCAAAACAACAAATACACTTGTAAAGAGATGACTTATGAAACACCATTTTTGATCAAAGGACCTAGTAATCATTAAGAACATGATGGGAAATCAGCTACTTTTTTCTTTACAGAGGATATAGCAAAAAACAAATGGACTTAAATTAGAAGTGTTACAGTTATAAATTTTTTCTGACAAGAGAGCTATTGAACATTCAGGTAATGTGCCAAGAAAGTCTCTTTACTGAGCATGGTTCTCAGCTGTGCTGTACCTTAGAATAAATTGAGAACCTTTTAGAAATACTGATGCCTGGGCCCCACTCCAGATCAATTCTCTCTGAGGCTCTAGGAGTGCAGCTCAAGCATCAATCTTTTTTTGAAAATTCTCCAAATAATGTCTAACATTCAGCCAGGGTTTAAAACATCAGACTTAGAAGGTGATTTTAAAAATAGTATTCATACCCGAGATAGACTAGGATGGTGGTTCTCAAATATGAGTGTGTATCAGAGTCACCATCAGGGTTTCATAAAACAGATTGCTTGATTCCGTAGTTGCTAATGCTTTTGGTTAAGAATCATACATGAAGAACCACTGGTCTAGAACCTTACTACTCAAAATACTGCCCTGGAATGGCAACATTGACATCACTAGGAGACTGTTAGAAATGCACAATCGGTGTCAATTTTAGATCTTTCCTGCTTTCTCTTGTGGGCATTTAGTGCTATAAATTTCCCTCTACACACTGCTGTAAATGTGTCCCAGAGATTCTGGTATGTTGTGTCTTTGTTCTCATTGGTTTCCAAGAACATCTTTATTTCTGCCTTCATTTCGTTATGTACCCAGTAGCCATTCAGGAGCAGGTTGTTCAGTTTCCATGTAGTTGAGCAGTTTTGAGTGAGTTTCTTAATCCTGAGTTCTAGTTTGATTGCACTGTGGTCTGAGAGACAGTTTGTTATAATTTCTGTTCTTTTACATTTGCTGAGGAGGGCTTTACTTCCAACTATGTGGTCAATTTCGGAATAAGTGCGATGCAGTGCTGAGAAGAATGTATATTCTGTTGATTTGGGGTGGAGAGTTCTGTAGATGTCTATTAGGTCCGCTTGGTGCAGAGCTGAGTTCAATTCCTGGATATCCTTGTTAACTTTCTGTCTCGTTGATCTGTCTAATGTTGACAGTCGGGTGTTAAAGTCTTCCATTATTATTGTGTGGGAGTCTAAGTCTCTTTGTAGGTCTCTAAGGACTTGCTTTATGAATCTGGGTGCTCCTGCATTGGGTGCATATATATATTTAGGATAGTTAGCTCTTCTTGTTGAATTGATCCCTTTACCATTATGTAATGGCCTTCTTTGTCTCTTTTGATCTTCGTTGGTTTAAACTGTGTTTTATCAGAGACTAGGATTGCAACCCCTGCTGTTTTTGTTGTTGTTTTCCATTTGCTTGGTAGATCTTCCTCCATCTCTTTATTTTGAGCCTATGTGTGTCTCTGCACATGAGATGGGTCTCCTGAATACAGCACACTGATGGGTCTTGACTCTTCATCCAATTTGCCAGTCTGTGTCTTTTAATTGGAGTATTTAGCCCATTTACATGTAAGGTTAATATTGTTATGTGTGAATTTGATCCTGTCATTATGATGTTGGCTGGTTATTTTGCTCACTAGTTGATGCAGTTTCTTCCTAGCATCAATGGTCTTTAGAATTTGGCATGTTTTTGCAGTGGCTGGTACTGGTTCTTCCTTTCCGTGTTTAGTGCTTCCTTCAGGAGCTCTCCTAAGGCAGGCCTGGTGGTGACAAAATCTCTCAGAGGGAAGGGGGAGGGATAGCATTAGGAGATATACCCAATGTAAATGACAAGTTAATGGGTGCAGCACACCAACATGGCACATGTATACATATGTAACAAACCTGCATGTTGTGCACATGTACCCTAGAACTTAAAGTATAAAAAAAAAAAAAAAAAGAAATGCACAATCGGGCCCCACCCATCACTGAATCGATATTTGGATTTTGACAGGTCCCCAGGTGATTCACATGTAAATTAAAATTTGAGAAGCACTGGTCTAGCGCACGGACCAATTAAAAAGTCTACTGGGACAAGGAGAAATACAAATGGGGATGAAATAGAGTAGAGACCTGTAAATAAATGGAGAGCTCATATTCTAAAACCTTCATCCCTAACCAACCAGTGCCCACATGGGAATGCAGGCCCAGTGTTGCCAGATAATTCTAATATTTCAAGAAAGCCGGGGGGAAAAAAGAAAGCAAGCAAGCTAGTAATCTGGATTTTTATGTGAAATCTCCCAACTGTAAAATATTGGCAATTAATTCAAAGGCTTAATAACATCTTCAAGACCAAATAAAATCTATCCATGTGCCATACTTGGCCTGTAGTTTGTCCATTTGTAATGTCTGATCTAGAAAGAGTCAATCATAAATTGAGTTAGTTGGAAATAAATCAGTGGAAATCCTCTCAAAACTCTTCCTTTAAAAGCTTAAGATGAACGATATATTTGGTAACAGTTAATTATTTTCCATAGGGCACACTTCTACCTAACATGAATTCAGCAAAGCAACAAAAATAAATGTTAGGGCAGCTTTGAAATACAAGTTATGGATGAAAGAATATCCAGCTATGAGGTAGGAAGCAAGAGAGGTTGCTGAAACAGGTTGGGAGTGTCTCTGAAAAACCTGAGAAGCACAAGCAATCAATCTCAAAATGAGAAGGGCTGAGGCATTTGAGTATGGGATAAATACACCTATGAACAGGGCAATATTTTCTTCAGAGTGGAAGAAAAATAGTAGTATTATACATGACATGTAGAATTTATTTTCACTTATTAAAAAATATGTGATAAAACAACCTCAATTCCACAGTTCATCTTCATCTATATTTAATAGCATTAAATCATATCACTTCCTTTAAGAAGCAATTTGAAAAAAAAAATCCCAACTGAGGCACACAACATGCTCAATGTCTGATATTTCAGTGAATTCTTGGTCATTGAGTATTTTTCTTAAAACCTTCAAATAATCACTTGTTAAGACGTCTTAGAAGCTATCTGGAGAAGAAGAAGGTACTTGTTGGAAAGGTCACATAGAAAAACACAGAGAGCAACTAAGCAGGCTGAGAGAATCATGAAAGTCAAAATACACATCTGAATGGGAGGAAAGAGAATAGTAAAGTCATGAAAACTGCTTACTACTCTGCTACAGTACTAATAAACAAGCAAAGTTTCATAAAGGCCATGGGAATGGCACAGAAGAAGACCAGGGAGAATATCCAGCCTCTCCTCACCACGCCTCCTTTAAAATACACTCCTTTCACTATGTGATCCTTAACTCCATAAGATCAAGTGGCTCGCTCTCCAGCTTCACTAACAGACATTTCTTAGCCTGTGATAAATGGTGTTCATAATATGGTTTAGATTTAATCTTATTAAATTATTAAATACTATCTCTCACTTCTCTCCAAATCCCTTCAATTAGGCCCACAATTAGGACAGTAGGTATTTTACTCAACTATGTCCTTATAAAGTCTTCAAGTTTTGCCATTAGAATAATAAACTAAAGTTTAGCAGGATGTACTTCTTGGTTCAATATTTAAGGGTAACTATCATCTCTTACTTTACTCTGCTATCAACTGATTTTTCAAAAAAAAATGTTGGGTATGCCAGTAACAGTAAAGTAACAAAGAAATATCAGATAAAACCATTTCCTTTAAAAAAATTAAGCAGAACTTTGAGCTGCACCCAGCACCCTAAAGGACACAGATTAGCAAATGAAAGACAGACTTTTACAGTGCAATTAGAATAAGGGAATTTGTAGTAGAAGCTGCCAAGATTGGGGGTTACAAGTGTGACTATCTCCTAGAGTCTACATTTATAAAAAAGAAAACTTCATCTTTGGGGTTTTTTAAAAATATTGAAATCAGAACATCATCTAAAAGATGGGTGCACTAAAAATCAGGAGCACCTTGTTTTTTTAGCTTTGCCTATAAAGAAACAATGTGGCCCAAGGCCAAGGCATTTTGGTTTCTTTATTTTAAACTGATGTCACAATTCTTCTTTATATGCAAAAAGAGGAAGGAAATAAATTAGCATTTAGTTTACTATTCAATATCTTCCAGGCTCTGTCTTTGGCAAAATTACCAGTCAGATGGGATGATGAATTACACAATCTTTATGGCCCCTTTAATTGAAAAATTATCTCATTTCTATGGAATATTTGAGTAAATTGATATGTAAATCACATGTAAATCCTGATAATAGTAAGTCACACTAGCACTACTTTTCTCTTGGAATCCACGCTCTTTCTATAGCAGCCTCTCCCCTCTGCAGTGAATAGCTCCTTTACCTACTTGTTAGTATTAAACCCAGAAATATAGAAAGGATCCATAGCAGCAGCCAAACAAAATGCCTATCTTCCTGACCATATTGTCACAATACATTATAATATAAAATATATAGAGAAAAATAGATACAGCTTAATGCAAAATGTTCCACTCAATGTGTTCTCCATTTTTTCTCACAATACACTAAAAGTTTTCCTTATTTTTAACCAGTTTACTTCATTACCATTGTTATGTTTATACCCAGCTATTATGCTCAATCCTAGGGAAAAAAAGGTGACTAATACTCAATCTAAGTCCTTGCTTCTTAGGTCTCAACAAGGTCATGAAACATAGTTTAAGTACATAGTAAGTGCAATATAATACCTGGGATACTAGGAAAATACAAAAAGAGAGCATCTAATTCAATCATGGAACACAAAAAAGGCTTTCTAGAGTAATGGTGATTGAGTAGACTCCCTTAAAGATAAAGAAGTTATGAACAAAAAGAATGAGGATACAAGGCATCTCAAGCACATAAAGTAGTGGAAAACACACACACACACACACACACACACACACACACACACAGGAAAGAAGTAGCGAAGTATGTGTGGAAAATAAGCTATGGAATACTATTGTAGTACAATGTTGGTAGCATAGGATTCGGGAAAATGAAGCTAAAGTGGTAGTCAATGACCAAATCGTGGAGGACTTTACATGTCATGCTAAGAACCTGTATTTTATTCTAGGAGCAAGGGGAAACCAATGAAGAGTGCAAGAGAATAGCATGGTCAGATTTACCTTTTTCAAGTTTGAAAGGTGGATTTCAGGTAGAAATAACTGAAGGCAAGGAAATAAGTGACAAGTGAGTCCTTATGCTGTTCAGTGTTAACAGGACTATGGAAGAGTGGATAGAATTAAGAAATAGTTAAGATGTGAAATTGGATGACTGATATGAAGGCAGCAAGGTGAAGGAACCTAAAAATCCTCTCCTTATTGTTTATGACTTTTAGGCCAACTCCTTACATGGGAGCACAAACAATTGAGACATGAAATACATGGGAAGAGCCAGACTGTTCAGGGTGCAAAATAGGAGCAGGGAAGCCGAATGCTGTTTGGATCTACTGCAAAAATATAACTCATAATCCATGAAGGGAGGTCCAGTAAGCATTAATCAAAGTGGTAGAGGGAAAAACAGGAGGTAGTGCTATCAGAGGAAATAAAGTTCCAAGAATGAAAGAAGGATCAATAACGCCAAATGCAGCAAGGAAATGCAGATAGATAAGTAAGGAAAAAGTGTTTATTGGATTTGGCCAATCTGCCTTTGCCAGGTAGTTTCAAAGGACTGCTGGGGATGAGAGCCAGACTGCTGTAGGCTCAGGAGTGACTAAGTGGTAAAGAAGTGACAGAGTAAATCTTCCATAGATTGCAAAGCCATGTAGATAAGTGAGACTTGCCCAAGTATCTCTGCCCTCTCTTTGTGGAGCAAAAATCTCCTTTGTATTTTATCACACATCGATGAGGCTCTCTACCAAGATGGCTTAAAAATAGAATTATTTCCTTTAAACTGAGTGAAAAGCCTTAATCACATTTAAAAGTCAATGTGAATAATAGTTATCAACCACCTAAATAAGTCTCATGTAGAGGAGCGGGATGAAGCAGGATGCCAACGTAAATCCCAAATAATCCCGGCATCATTTACAGACTATCCTCTCTTTACAAGGTGAAATGTTACTCTAAATATAGCTCAAGCATTACAGAGAATATAAAGAGACTTGTAGCTTCAGTTAACACCCCCACTCAGCCTTTTGCTTAGTGTTCACAAGGAATGTTCTAAAAAATTCTGTCTGGTGTTCCCAAGTTTACTCAAGGAAAAATGGGTGGCAGAAAATCGGAGGATTCCTATCCAAATCAACTTATTCATTTATTTTATATTTCAAGCACTATCGCTGAAATATTATTGTTCATTTCTATTTCTTACTAGCATTTGCTTTATTATCTTGTTTATCTTTGGATTTTGAAATCATCAAAATTCAATATGCATGTGATGTATTTGGCCAACAACGTCAACTGGAATGGAATAGCTTCGAGTTCTCTGGAAATGAGAATACACCTATAACAGCTCTCTTCATTAAACTCAAAACTGATATTACTTATATTTTATGATTCTGCCTGTAACAGTAAACCACTTAAAAACATTTTCAGAGATTCTCCAGAAGGATTAAAAGGAAGCTGTATTTCTCATCAGGTTTTCCCCACACCTCCTGTCCTTTTCCCTTTCCCGCCTGTCCAGCTTGATGTCAATCACCTTGTGTACTGCAATGATGAACTGTCTTACTACTCACTGAAGGCTTTCAGAGAAAGAGCAAGACAGTCATCATGGAGGTAGGAAGAGCAAAAAGAGTAAAGGGAAAACTGAAAAGTTATTATTAGTCAATTTTATTACTGCTGTACCCAAATAACAAACTATTTTTTCCATGCAAATGACTACATAACTTCCATGATAAAAAGGCAAAACATTATATGAGAGGAAGGCAAATCATCATTTATAGTCAAAGCAAAACACCAGCAAAAATAAAACAGAAAGAGCCTGTTACAACATAGCCACTGAAAACTGCAAGTAGTTAAAATTTATCCATTGATTTTTTTTTTCATTAAGCCCTTATCATCTTGTATAGTACTGAAATCTAAAGAGATAGCATGGAACTGAGTATAACAGTATTTTGATTCCCCTTAATTTATCCTGATTATCTTCATTTCAGAAAGTCATAACACATGAATATCCTTCACTCCAAAAAATTGCCAAGTGTGTATTGTTTATTGAGTCATTTGTTACTAACTTCTTGATAAATATCCATTTTGAATGTGCATATCTCTATCTTTTGCAGTTGAAGTAAATATGTGATGTCATCTGAATCCCAGAAATTGAAGTCCTGGTTGCTATCATTAATAGTTACCAAACATCTACCTGTGACAGACCCTGTGTTGGGTGCGATCTACTCTGATGTTCCAAGCATACCACACCTCCCACTAAGAATACAGCAGGGGGGTTTGTACCTCAGATGCTAGAGCCAGGCTACCTATTGAATCCTGAGTCTACCACTTACTGTCACTGTTTAATCTCTTTGTACCTCAGTTACTGTTTTTGTCAAAGTATGCTGATATGGATATATATCATAGGACTGTTATGAAGATTAAATAAGTCAATATATGTGCTAGCATTTATATGCTTATATATTTTATCTAGCATTATTAACATGAAATGTAAAAGATAAATATATTTTGAGCCCTCTACAAAACGAAAAACAGTTTGCAAAAAAAAATCTCAGATGCCAATTTATTCTTAAAAATATGTATGTGAAAATTTAATAAAATTGAGATTGAATAAGTAATAAAAAGTTTCACATCAAAGAAAAGCCTATGACCTAATGATTTCACTTCTAAATTATGTAAAATGTTTAAAGAAAAACTAATACTAATTCTTCTCAAAGTATTTCAAAAAATTAGAATACAAGAGCATAGCACTGATACCAAAGCCAGACAAAGACACTGCAAAAAAAGAAAACTGTAGGCCAATATTCCTGATGAACATAAATGTAAACATCCTCAACAAAATACTAGCAAATCGAATACAACAGCACACTAAAAAGATCACTGCCCATTATCGAGTGGGATTCATCCCAGTGATGCAAGTATGATTCAACATACATAAATCAATAAGTGTGATAAATTACATTAACAGAATGAAGAACAAAAACCATATAATCACCTAAATAGATGCAGAAAGAGCATATGAGAAAATCCAATATCCTTTCTTGATAAAAACTCTCAACAAGTTAGGTATAGAAGGAATGTCACTCAACAAAACAAAGACTATATATGACAAACCCACAACTAACACAATACTCAGTGGTATGCTATTATGTCAGGAAAGTTGAAAGCTTTTTCTCTAAGATCTGGAGCAAGAAAATGATGCTCCCTCTTACCACTTCTATTCAACACAGTATTGAAGGTCCCACCCAGAGCAATTAAGCAAGAGAAAGAAAGAAAATGCATCTAAATAGGAAAGGAAGAAGTCAAATTATTCATGTTTGCAGATGATATGATCATATATATAGAAAGCCCTAAAGACTCCACTGAAGCACTGTTAAAACTAAAAAATTCAGTAAAGTTTCAAGATATACATAAACAAAAAAATAGGAAATCAGAAAAATAATCACATTTCAATAGCTACAAAAAAATTAAGTACCTAGAAATGGATTTAACCAAGGAAGTGAAAGATCTTCACACTGAAAACTATGAATGAAAGAAACTGAAGAAGACACAAATAAATGGAAAAAAATCCCATGTTCATGGATTGGAAGAGTTAATATTGTTAAAATATTCATATTACTCAAAGCAATTTATAGATTCAATGCAATTGCTATCAAAATAACCAATGATATTCTTCACAAAAATAGAAAAAAATCTCAAAATTTTCTATAGAACCAAAAAGACCCTGAATAGCCAAAGCAAACTTGAGCAAAAAGATCAAAGCTGGAGGCACCACACTACCTGACTTCAAAATATACTATAAAGCTATAGTAACCAAAACAGTATGGTACTAAGGGGAAAAAACAGAACCATAGACCAATTAAGCAGAAGAGAGAGCCCAGAAATAAATGCATGCATCCAGAGCCAACTGACATTCAACAAAGGCACCAAGAACATACAATGGGCAAAGGACAATCTCTTCAATAAACGATGCTTGAAAAACTGGATATTCACATGTGAAAAAATAAAATTGGACTCATCTCACACCATACACAAGAATCAACTCAAATGGATTAAAGACTTACACATAAGGAACTCAAATGGATTAAAGACTTACACATAAGGTTCAAAACTACGAAACTACTAAAAGGGGAAATGCTCCAACACCTTGGTCTAGGCAATGCCTTTTTAGATGTGACCATAAAAACAGAGGCAACAAAAGTTAAAATAGACAAATGAAATTATATCAAACCAAAAAACTTCTGCATGGCAAAGGTAATAACAGAGTGAACAAAAAATATTTTCAAAAATTTTGCAAAAATATTTGCAAACTCTACACCTGATAAAGGGTTAATATCCAAAATATATAAAGAACTTAACTCAACAAATAATCTGATGGAAGAAAATATGATCACAAAAAAATCTGATGAAAGCAAAACACCATGATAGACATTTCTCAAAACATGACATAAAAATAGCCAAAAAGTATATGAAAAAATGCTCATCACTAATCATCAGGAAAATTAAAATCTCAATGAGATACCATCTCATACCTCTTAGAATGGCTATCATCAAAAAAGTTGAAAGATAAGTGTTGGTGAGCACGTAGAGAAAAGGGAATCCTTGCACATTATTGATAGGAATGTAAATTAGTACAGCCATTACAGAAAACAGTATGGAGGTTCCTCAAAAAATTAAAAATAGAACTACCACATGACCCAGGAATCCCACTATGGGGTAAATATACAAAGAAAATGACATCAATAGGTCAAAGATATATCACTCTTCCATGTTCACTGCAGAATACTCACAATAGCCAAGATATGGAATCAAATTAAGTGTCCATCAACAGATGAATAGATAAAGAAAACATGGTATATATACACAATGAAATACTATTCGGCCGTATAAAAGAAGAAAAGCCTGTCATTTGTGACAACATGGATGAACCTGAAGGACATTATGTTAAGTGAAATAACCCAGTCAGTCACAGAAAGAAAATTACCACATGATCTCACTCACATATGAAATCTAAAAAAGCTGATCTTATAGAAGTAGAAAATAGAATGGTGTTTACCAAGGGCTGGGGTGATTGGGGTGGGTTGGAAATAAATTGGCTCAAACATACAAAATTTCATTTGGATAGAAGAAACAATTTTAAGAGTTCTATTGTATAAATGGTGACCATAGTTAATAATATATTGTATTCTTGAAAAATGCTAAGAAAATGAATATAAAGTGTTCGCACCATAAAAATAACTACATTAGGTAATGTATATGTTCATTAGTTAGATTTAGTTACTCCACTATATATATTTCAAAATATTATGTTGTTTATGATAAATACATGCAATTGCATGTCAATTTTTAAAAAGTGAGTCAAAATGTCAAAAACTATTGAATAGAAACTATTTTGCACTTGTATACTTTGAAGATTTCTACCATATTATGATTCCATAAAAGTGATCAAACCACATAATAAGCTGAAAATGACAATAGTAGTTCAAAAGTTGCCTGAGTCTGACTTCCAATGAATTAATTTTCCCATTCAGTATTGTTTGACAAAAATTACTTCATTCCTGAAGACAACAGAATGAGGGTATCAGACCTCTTTTAAAAGCCTAAAATATCGCATGGACAAAAGTTGGATTAGCAGAAATACAACGGAGAAATGGGTGACAGAAGATCAGAGAGGGATGAACTTTGAATTCACTTAGGGAAAAGGAAAGGTTACAAAGAGGCAAGATAATAATTACTTCCACAGAGCATTCATTCTCTGTAAGGCAATATTTGAAGTGCTTTACTCCTATTAACTTATTTAATCCTCAAAACCCAAATTAATAAGAAGATACTTTTATTATCATTGCTATTTTATACATAGGGAAACAGAGAAATTAATAAACTTGTCCAAACTTGTCCAAGATCGTGCTATAGCTAGTAAGTAGTGTAAGCAAAAATTGTGCTCAGTCTGGCTTGTATTCCTGCCTCCCTCAAATATAAGGGGATATAGATATATGTATTTAGCTTGAATAGGACATGTATAAACTGAAAATATAAATACTTGAAAATAGATAATGGAGGATGCCCAGATATGAATATAAATTTAATATGTAGATGATGGGTAGTTGCGTGTTAAAATTTTGCTGTAATGTTCTAGGATCTATGAAGCTCATAAGATTGTTCAATTATGACACTTAAGAAAGGAGTTCATACTGTATTTTTCACCTGTCCAGATGTTTCCTGGAAAGCACCAAACAGAATGGGCTTCTAAAAGCAAGACAATAAGAAAATTCAGAAAAATTACTCTCGGTTCTTCAGTACGTCAATGATCTTGAAAGTTCAAGATCATTAATTCTGAAGAGTATGTCAGGCTGATTCTCTTGGAATATTCTTAAAGGAAGCATTAGTATTTATTCCCAGGCCATGTCTTATCACTGGGCCTGACCTTATAAGAACCCTGTGAAGTTCAGGAGATGGGGTACACTTGAATAAACAAAACAAAAACAAACACCATTACTTTGTAGTCCTTCAAAATAATCCCAATTAAATAATTAGCATAATGTCTTTATATGAAGAACATCTAAAAATTTTAATAGGTTCGTATTATGATAATCAAATCAGTCTAAAAACCAACAGGACAAAAAAGAAGAAATGATTAATTAAATTAAACAAGCTGGTATACTATCAGGATTAGAAATAAGTCTGGTCATACTCTATATTTTATTAATGACCTGGAAAAAACCACGACATGTTAATTAAGTCTATAAATTCAACTAAACTGACATGATATTTTCAAAGGTTAAGCTAGGAAAAAAGTCAAAAAAGAGCATGTTCACCTTAAGAAAAATATTTTCAATAAGTAGAAGTACTGTCATAAACTCTCACTTAAAGCACCATCAATTATCATTGAACAGAGATGCTCTTTAAATAAAGGTCAAACTCCACATAATAAAACACCTAAGGACAGATACATGACCCTGTATTTAAGAAAGGCTTTGTCGTTTATATTTTCATTTAGTGTAAAAATCCTCCCTCTTGTTTTTATTGGTCGGGGGGAACATATGTGAACAAGTTAAAAAATTAAATTTTCACCTTTATCATTTATACTTTTTTTTGCCTTTCCTACTTAATGAGCCAGAAACTCTCTGTTTGCTTGTAATAGCATAATTATGTCCTTGGGAACTGGTTTTCATATTGCAGCTATTTATTCCTTTACCTATCAGGTCATTAGTTCAAAATTATATGTTTCTTTTGTAACAGCTAATAATAATAAATTCTTACATTGCATCCCCAAAGAATTATGAAAAAATGCCTATTAACCACTTCATTCAGAACAAACACAAGGCAACAGTGGATAGAAAAAACTCTGACAAAAAAAAAAAAAAAATCCCAGCCTGGGATCTATTTTCATTCAAGTACTGTATCCACAAAATTGAATCAAGAGTATTATGGATTTTTTTTCAATAAAAATAGGACAATGTTATTAACATCATAAAATTAGAAGATTTTTTTCATATTCGAATCAAACATGTAACAAACCTGATTGGAAGAGATTTAGGTGAGAATCATTCAATCCTGAATAGCTTCCCATCCTGGTTTAGATATCGTCTAACTCCCCAACACAGGGAGCTCTCAAGCTGAAAGAACACCAATGCCAATGAACTGACATCAAAAGACATCAGTCCCTACAAGATTAGTTAAATAAACTGCTGCAGTTTGATGGCAGATTTCCATCCTTTGGGGAGGACAGATTATTAAACTAGATACTAATTCATCTGGGGACCAGGTATAGATGGCAGTCATGTTTTGCTTAATCTGCAGAATTTCTTTTTAATTCGTAGTCAGCAGTTTACAAATTGGGAGCTTTCTCATATCAAATAAATCTCCATTTCTAGCTCCTCTTGAAGAATGACAAGATCTGACAACAATGACAAACATATTCACATGGAAACAATGAACTGCTGATGAAGAAGAAATTTTCCCTTTACAGGGTGATACACCTCCAATTTGCCTCAGTCCTCAGTTCTGTAATTCCCACTACACATTTAAACATGTAAGGTAGATTTAAACTATTTAAAGTTGCCATCCCTGTTCTGTAGTTCAAAGAACAACTCTTCATGCCCTTGTTCTACTCTGGAATGGCATGTACCTTACAAAGGGAGAAACGTGGGGGAACAACAGAAGGAGCACAAGTAGTGAGATTAGTTCCCATCAGAGTGTGAAAGTGTTGGGAGTGGACAGAGATTAGGTGTACAGAGGTGAATATTTATTATTTATTTACATGAGCCTTTCATTTTCCTGAAGACAGATATAGCCTGGATTTCAAGAGACATGCATTAGAGCATGGGACCTTATTATTAGAAAGAACGTACAAGGTCATTTTGTCCATGCTTCTCCAAATTGGCTTATTGTAATAATTGTTGAGAAACCTTTATTTTTGACAGGAATTTCAGTAGTGACTGAAAATCTAATCTAGGAATTCAGAATATATCCAGAATGGCAGCATGAGGAGCTCCATAAAACCACTCCTCTCACACACACAAAACTTACCTGATGAAAATTATAAAAACAGCAAACATATAAAGTATTTGGAAGTTGGTCAAAGACATATGATAAACTTTTTTTTTTTTTTTTTTTTTGAGACATAGAGAGTCTGGCTCTGTTGCCCAGGCTGGAGTGCAGTGGTGCCATCTTGGCTAACTGCAACCTCTGCCTCCCGGGGTCAAGTGATTCTCCTGCCTCAGCCTCCCAAGTAGCTGGGACCACAGGTGTGGTCCACCATGCTCGGCTAATTTTTGTATTTTTAGTAGAGACAGGGTTTCACTATGTTGGCCAGGCTGCTCTTGAACTCCTGACTTTAAGTGATCTACCCACCTCAGCCTCCCAAAGTGCTGAGACTATAGGCGTGAGCCACTGTGCCTGGCCAAGAAACATTTATTTAAGAAAATTTACTAAGTCACAGTAGAACGGTGATTGTCTGTGGCACTTCAGTCCTCACTCACTCCTCTCCCCAGTTCAGCTCCCCATTTTAGCTCCACAACAGGCAGGTACACGGAGCTCATGGCTTTCTTTCCCACCAGCTCTCAGTCAACGGCTACAGTATCACCTCTGGAGAGACAGGCTTCCAGGAATTCTCCTCATCACCAGCTCCATGTTGAAGAGGCTAAATTCCAGGCATGTGTAACAAGAGATTAAGAGCCTTCTTTCTACATCCATTCCCCACTTGTAAGGGAGACTCTACCAGAGCCAGACTCTGTATGTCTCAAGAAAAAAAAAAAAAAGTTTATTTGTCATATGTCTTTGACCAACTTCCAAATACTTCATATGTTTGCTGTTTTTATAATTTTCATCAGGTAGCTTTTGTATGTGTGAGAGGAGGGGTTTTATGGAGCTCCTCATGCTGCCATTCTGGATATATTCTGAATCCCTAGATTAAATTTTCAGTCACTACTGAATGTGAGAGGCTGAAAATAGTGAGTTCCTAATTGCCTTTTCTTCAGCTTGCTCATAGGGCAAAGGCTCCATGCTCGGGGAGGCAAGCCAAGGAGACTAAAGGCTACTGCTCCTGTCCAGCACCCCACCCATAAACTAGAGTCAAACCAAACCTCAAAGACTGGACCCTAAATTACTCCCACAAAGGGGCCTGAATTTAATTGGACCAGATGTTTAAAGAATTAATATCAGTTCTTCACAAATAGAAAATTCCCAAGTCATTCTATGAAGGCTGTATTACTCTGGGACCACAAGCAGACAATACTTCAGAAGAAAGGAAATGTATAGATCAACATCTCATGAGTATAGACAAAAAAAATCATCATCAACATGCTAGCAAACCAAATCCTGAAACAAATCAAAATGATTATATACCATGGCTAAATATCACTTATCCCAGTAAGGAAAGATTGCTTTAAAATCCAAAAATTATTACTGTAATACACTATATAAATAAAGGGCAAAACTCACATGGTCGTCTCAATAGAAGCATTAAAAGCATTTGAAAATATCTAGCACCCTTTCATAATAATAAAAAAATACACAGGTAGTAACTTCTTCAATCTAATAAAGGGAATCTATGAAAAACCTCCACCTATCAATATACCTAATGGTAAGAGACGAAATGCTTTCCCCTAAGATCAAGAACAAGATAAGGATTTTTCACTCTCTCCACTTCTATTCACCATTATTCTGGAGGTTCTAGCTAGATTAACTAAGCAAAAAAATGAAAGGCATCTGTATTAGAAAGAAAAACTGTCCCTATTCGCAAAAGACATGACATTTTACATAGAAAATCCTAATGCCCCACTGTGACCCAAGACGCCTGTATGCCAGGGGTTCACCTGCTTCTTCTCCTCCCAATCGCTTCTCCCTGGATCCCCAAACCCAGGCTTCAAATGTTTGATGATGTCTGCTGTGGGGGATGGGTCAGAGTGGTGGGAAAAACTATAGGGAAAAGACACAAACCTTCTGAAAGGCCGGAAGGTTCTGCAGACCCCGGGGAGAATAGCTGAAGGCAGCTGTCCTATAACCCTGAGGCAGACGGCAAGGAGTAGGTACAAGGGACTGTGGGGGAATTTATCTTAAACAAGGTTGTTTACTTATATTGACCAGGAACTGACCTTTGATCATCTGCACATGTGACACTGCCTGAAAGGGGAACAATAAATGTTAATTAGCTACAGGTTGTGTTGGCTCCAGGTTTTCGGCATTGTGCCTGCACTGAATAAAAGCAAGCAGCTCCAGCTTCTTGGGGCTGTTCTCTGGCCACTAGAGCCAGGTAGTCACCTAGCTGCTCTTAAACTGCATACCCATGTATGAGTACTCATTTCATCTGTCTGCCAGGGTCTGCGGGACAGACCCAGCAGTCCGCCACACAGTCTCTGTAATGCTGTTGCTCTCTAATGCCTCCGATCAGGCCCAGCAAAGGAGAAAGGGGGTAAGAAAGGAAGTCTCTATACCATGGCTTATATAAAGCAGACCACCTGCAAATCAACGATGGTAAAGAACCTAGGAAGCAACTGGCTACAAAAGTGAACCCTCTATGGGAGGAAGAAAGAAACCTCATAGTTACAGGCCTGGTACTGTGGCACTCCGTGAAATTTGTTATCAGAAGTCCACTGAACTTCTGATTAGCAAATTTCTCTTCCAGCATCTGGTCCAAGAAATTGCTCAGAACTTCAAAACATCTGTGCTTCCTGAGAGCAGCTATTGGAGCTTTGCAGGAAGTGAGACCTATCTGGTTGACCTTTTTGAGGACATCAACCTGTGTGCTATCCATGTAAAACATGTAACAGGTATGCCAATAAACAGATAATAGGCCACATACATGAAGTATATGCCTAAGAATCCACTATGATGAGGAACATTTCATTCTCAAAAAAAAAAAAACCTCTTCTTCCTGTTATTGGCAGATCTGAACATTAGGTATTTTTTCCCCATAGAATCAAAAGGTACCTAAATATAAGATTGTGAGTGGAAAAATAGCAGACAGAAATCAGATAGTGGCATTTTTTCCATTTTCATCATGTGAATTTTTAATGTAAATGTGGGGACATAAAGCATTAATGTAAGTCAAAATATTTCAGTGATCAAGTTTCAGCAGTTCAACTTCATAACAACCACAGATAAACCTGTTAAATTTTTCTTCACAATGTCAGCATTTGGCTTGTTTTTAAAATAAGTAAATTTCTTATTAACAGCAACTAAATGGTGTTTGTGGCATTTTTTATCATACAGTAAAAAGTATAGTACATCCATTGACTATACTTTTCTGAGTTGTCCTACACACAAGTTCATGTTTTTAATGTTGTCTTTCTTGAGTGCTATTTCTGTAAGTGTACTATTAAAATAAACTAAACAAAAATCCTAAGAAATTCACTAAAAAACAAAGACTAATAAAATAGTTCAGCAAGATTACTAGCTATAAGTTCAATATGCAAAAAATAAGCTGTATTTCTATACGTCAGAAATGAGCAATCCAAAAATAAAATTGAGAAGACAATTCCATCTACAATAACATCAAAAAGAGTAAAATGCTTAGAGATAAATTTGACAAAAGAAATGCAAAATGTGTATACTGAAACTATAAAATATTGAGAAAATTAAAGAACCTATTAAATACCTAAATTAGTTTTAAAAAGCATCCTATGTTTATGGATCAAAATACATGATATTACAATTACAATACTCTCCAGCCTGACACAGAGATTCAAAGCATTCTCTATCAAAATCCCAACTTGTTTCTTAGCAAAAACTGACAAGCTGATCCTAAAACTCATATGTTAATTTGAGGGATCCAAAGTTGCCAAAATGACCATGAAAAAGACTAATAAAGTTGGAGTAGTAACACTTTAAGGTAATAGGAATCAATAAATCACTTGTAGTACCAGGATAAGGACAGACATATAGATCAGGGGGACAGAATGCAGAGTTCAGAAAACAATCCTCATATTTATGGTAAATTAATTTTTTCACAAGAATGCAGTGACAATCCAATGTGGAATTAGTTTTTTCAAAAACTGGTATCAGAAAAACTGTTGTGTGTGTGTATATATATATGTGTGTATATATATACACATATATATACGTGTGTGTATATATATACATGTATATATATGCACATATATATACGTGTGTGTATATATATACATGTATATATACGTATATATGTATATATGTATACATGTATATATACATGTATATATGTATACATGTATATATACATATATATACATATATACACACACACAACAGTTTTATATGTGTGTATTATATATATACACACACATACATATATATATTGCATATATATATATGCAAAAGAATGAAGTTGGATTTTCTTACATTCACATCATGCACCAAAACAACTAGTAATAAAAATGGATTATAGACATAAACATAAGAGCTAAAACCATAAAATTCTTGAACAAAAATACAGTGACCTTGAGTTAGGCAAAACCTTTTTAGATATGACACCAAAAACAAAACAACAACAAAACATAGCTAAATCATATTTCATCAAAATTAAAAATTTTGTGCTTTAAAGTATATCATCAAGAAAGTGAAAAGACAACCCACAGAATTTAAGAAAATATTAGAAAATCTTTTATATCTATCTGATAAGGGACTTCTATGTAGAATATACAAATTATTCTTACAACTCAATAATAAAAAAATTTAAAAATTGACAAAGATCTGAATAAATATTTCTCCAAAGATATATGAATGGCCAATATATACATGAAAAGATGCTCAACATCATTAGCCATCGGATGCCAATCAAACTATGATGAGATTCCACTTTACACTAAGTAGGCTATAATTGAAAAGACAGATAATAACAAGTGTTTGCAAGGATGTATAAAAATTGGAACCCTCAATACTGGTGGCTGGAATGTAGAATGGTCCAGACACTTTGGAAGATAGTCTGGCAGATCCTTCAAAAGTTAAATATAGAGTTCCCACATGATCCAGTAATTCCACCCCTAGCCATAGACCCAAAAACAATGAAAATACATATCCACAGAATAACACGTACATGAATATTCATAGCAGCATTATTCATAATAGCCAGAAAGTAGAAACATGTAAATGTCCCTCACCTGATGAATGGATAAATAAAATGTGGTATATCTTTTTTTAATTTCCTTCTCTGTAAATTATTATTATTATTATTATTATTATTATTATTATGCTTTAAATTCTGGGTTACGTGTGCAGAACGTAACGTTTTGTTACATAGGTATACACATGTCATGGTGGTTTGCTGCACCCATCAACCTGTCAGCTACATTAGGTATTTCTTCTAATGCTATCCCTCTCCTTTCCCCTGACCCACCAACAGGCCCTGGTGTATGATGTTCCCCTCCCTGTGTCCATGTGTTCTCATTGTTCAACTCTCACTTACAAGTGAGAACATGCAGTGTTTGGTTTTCTGATCTTGTGATAGTTTGCTGAGAATGATGGTTTCCAGCTTCATCCATGTCCCTGCAAAGGACACAAGCTCATCCTTTTTTATGGCTGCATAGTATTCCATGGTGTATATGTGTCACAAAACGTGGTATATCTATACAATGGAATTTTAGCCATAAGGATTAATTAGATACTGATTCATGTGGCACATGAATGAACTTTGAAACATATGCTAAGTGAAAAGAGCCAGCCACCAAAACCACATATTGAATGACTCTTATTTATATAAAGTGTCTATAACAGGCAAAGCTGCACAGATATAAAGTAGATTCGTAGTTAGATTTTTAGGCAGGGTATGGTGAAGAAAATGGGGTTTCCTTTTTAGGTTGTAAAAAATCTCTGAAATTCTGCTGGCGATGACTACACATGTTGTGAATATACCAAAAATCATTTGATTGTACAATCTAAATGGGTTAGTTGTATAGCATGTGAATTTTACATATATTTTAATGGCCTGCACAGCATTTATTCCTCCCTTCTAATAAAAAAGAAATAAAAATAAAGCTGTTATATTAAAAATAAAGCTCAATAAAGCTGTTATATTAAAAAAATTAATCCAGGCTTTGTCATTCAAAGACAGAATGCTTGATCCTTTTTGATACTTTATCCATAATTGACAAAAGCCTTTCAGCAATTACATAAATATATACATATACACCCACAGATATAGGCATAGATATAGAGATAGAAATACATCTTAAACACACACATATTAGTATTCACCATCACATTGCTTACAAATGACACATTATGGAATTAGTGAAATAATTCAATATATCCAAATCTTACAATATGCTGTGCTTGTCATCAAGAGTCATTATGTAGATACATTTCTTCCTATGAAATGACATAGAAATATGTCCCTAGTATATGGTTAGGACAAATTTTATAAGGGTATAACACAATGAATAAACAGATTCAATCTTTGCAAAATTACATATATATGAAATAATATGAACCAAAATATTAAAAGGAATAATGTCTGGCTGTTACGACTACTGTTAACATTTATTTTTTCTTTGTTCTATGTTGTCTGAGTGCCTAACAATGATGTGGAGTTTTATAAAACAGGTCACTTGACTTCATCTTAAACCTACTACACTTCTGGAGGTATGACCTAGGAATGTGAGTTTTCCTCACGTTGTCCAAGTCATTCTGACACAGCCAATCTGGCACAGATGTGGGATTTAGAAATCAATAGTCTATCTAATTTATGATCTAATAAAAGAATTACCTTCACAGCATCTTGAACATATGGCCATCCAGCCTGTGCATGAACACATAAAGAGAAAGGGCTCTCTCAATCTCAGATGGCAGATTATTCTATCATCACAGAGCTCTATTGGTAGTATGTTCCCCTTATGTTATCTAAATATATTAAAGCCACCCTTTTGGTGCTAGTTTTGCATTCTCAATAACTTACGTGAATTGCAATAACGATCATTAAGTCAATACGAGAAAGAGTGTAAAATATCCCATGTAGTGATACTTTTCTCTAATCCCTTCTTCCCCTTCCCCAACAAAAGCCAGGGATACAAATAGAGGGAGACGGTATTGAGACTAAAAGAAGAGTAAAAACCAATGAGTCCTCTAGTGTGATATCTTCCATGAGCTAAAAGGAAATCATACTACACAATGTGAAACACAGTAGGATGAAATGACTTACAGCCCTACCCAGAAGCTGAAGAGGACAGGCTGGGTCCTGGGGAAAAGAGATGTTAAAGAGCTGTGGAGAGAGTTCTAGGGGAGAAGAAAGTGCCCATAATCAGGGCCCCTTGTAGATCAGGCACTATGGCACACATACGCAAATCAGAAAGAAGCCTCTGTCTCCAGGTAATACTACTGTCTAGATCAGGGGTTGGCAAACTATAACCTGAAGGGCCAAATTTGGCCACATCCATTCATTTACAGATTGTCTATGGGTACTTTCAGGCTACAACAGCATAGTTGCCACAGAGACTGTATGGTCCACAAAGCCTCAAATACACCACTGCTGTAGAGCCCAGATAATATAATTTGCCAGAATTTGTTTTAGAACCTAGATAACTGAAGATCAACTTTTAGTGTTCTGGGCCATCCGAGGGTCAGGACTATATATAGGTGACATTTGGCCACTAAAGTAAGAATGATTAAGATGAAGATGAATTTTCTTTTCATGGAGAAAAAAGTTTGGCAATGATAAAAATATGAGAAAAAAACAAAAACAACAAATGGAGTATTAGCAGTCATTTTCTCTGTGGCTTACTAAAGGATGTTTTTTACCTCTTAATAACTGGTCCCTTTTCCCAGGAAAAATAATCCCTAAGAATGTAAATTACATAAGAACTGGTTTTTTTTTTTTAAATCTATTTTTGTGGTTGCCATATCTCTAGCACCTATAACACTACCTAACATATAAAGGCCCTCAGTAAATAGCTGTTGAACTTGTCCTGTCTCTACCACCTACCACATAAGTGGCCTTTGGCAAGTAACCTACTATTTCTAGTCTTCAGGTCCCTCACCTAGAAAATTAGGAAAATAATAGTTCCTACCTCTTAAGCTTTTTGTTAGGATTAATGGAGTAGATACATGTAGATTATTTATAAAAGAGTCTGGCACAATGTGAAGTATTTATTACTGTTGTTATTTTTTAAATCTTCAGTTGTACTATATAATTAAACCACTGAAAGTGTTTTTCTTAGGAGTTTTAAACTTTCCTCAGTCTCTTTCACATAAAGTTTGCAATTTATAAACATGTAGAATAGGAAGCCCCAGGATATATGACATATTCTTACAAACATATTTTACCCATTAAAATACAATAACAATCTTATTACATTCAACAGAGAGAAAATATGTATGCCAGTGTGATTATTTCTTCAGTTAATCAGACATATGTTTATTTAGAATATCTCCAATAACATGTTACCACATACTTTAAAACCAAATCTACCTTGAATTATTGAGAGGTTATACATACTATTGTCACTTGTATATAATTCCATTTACTGCACACTATAGCAAATGAGTCCTTAATAATGTGAGCATCATCCCTGCCACCATTTCAATTGTTTGATTCTGTCACCAGGGTTTATTGGCATGAACAGTTGATGTCTTGCTTTTTTTTGACCTTTTGTAATTATATATATATATGAGTTTTGGCAACTCCAATAGTTCTAGAGCTTCTTAGTTTCTTTAGTGAAAATTTATTCTTGTTGTTGTTGCTGCTGCTGTTGTTAACTACAACACTGAGTATGGTTTATTTGTCACAGATCCATAGTAAAAACCAAATAGTAAATTAATTAATTAACTAGTTAATTAGTTAATTTCCACCAATAATAAGAGGCAGTATCAAGGTATTTTTTTAAGTTGCTTCTTTCAACATATGTTGGAAACAGAAATATGGTGCAGAAACTTTAAAATCTTAAATAAATGGTTACTTAGAATTGAGATGAGAGAAAAATGTTGTTTTTTCCACTTATCTTCAATCCTGTGATGAAAAATTATTTCAAGAGCATTCCATCAGCTGTCACAAGGTGAGGATCTTAACTGAAGACAAATTATGGAAACTCAATTGATTTGATAACTTAAAGTAAAACTGTTAAGCTAAATAGAGCCAACAGACATACACACAGATGATCTGGTTAACAGATTCTTTCAAATTCTTCTATAAGTAAGAATTTCAAAACATCTAAGTGTACTGTGGAACACTTAGCAATCAGACAAAAATAAAGACTGATATTAACTATATTCAGCAGGCATATTTAATCAGGAATATGCAGGTTGCATTAGCTATAGAAATGGAACCAAACAGAAAAATAAAACCAATCCGCTATAGTTTTCCAAGGAAAATCATTGAGGGTTTTGCTGGCCAATGGCATGCCAACATTTTCTGTGCTACCCTTGCAAAGCACTTTTAGAGTAAGCCAAACTAACAACAACAACAAAATGCATATGCAATTGGTCTTTTTATAAAGCTATCCTAAACCTAAAATAAAATTCAATGTAAAACACAAGACCAATATTGCTTTCATTTTTCTTATAGGAGTAAAGTTTTTATAGTAACTACAGTAAAAGTGACTATAAAATGGTTTCATAGCACATTTTTAAAGGACTTTTTTTTCCTTTCTGTGATTTCAGTTTTATTTTAGTTTCAAAGTAGCTACTCTCAAAGAATTACTTGACACTATGACAAAGGAATTATGTTCTAGATGAGAATTTAGCATTCTTTTACTAAATACTTATTAAATGAATATTGGGTGTTAGTTTCTCAAAGAGATACAAAGAATAAATTGCTTCTTCCCCCAAAAGCTTTAATATTAAAGAGACAGAAAACATAACAAAACAACAAGGGAATGAATAGTGATGAAAGTTTATTTAGAGAAGTATAAACAAGTTCATACTGGGAGAATAGATGGAATTTAGCAAGAAGAGACAGGAACTTCAGAGATGAGACAGCATTTGAGTTGGTCCACATGTTAGTTTTCTACAACTGCTGCATAACAAGTTAACACAAATTTAGTGGCTTAAAACAATACAAATTGATTATCTTATAATTCTGGAGATTATAAGTCCAACACAGGTCTCACTGGGCTAAAAGCAAGGCACTGGCAGCCTTGTATTCTTTTATGTTGAAGCCCTAACCCGTGGTACTTGTGAATAAGATCTTATTTAGAAATAGGGTCTTTGTAGCTTGAAGCAATTTAAGATGGGGTCATTAGTGAGGGCTTAATCCAATATGATTGATATTCTTATAAGAAAAGGAAAACAGCATGAAAGACAGAGACACACAGGAAGAATGTCATGTGATGACAGAGGCAGAGACTGGAGTGTGGCAACGGCAAGCCAAGGACCACCAAGTATCAATGGCCACCACCAGAAGCCAGGGAGAGGCAAGGGAAGATCCCACCCAGAGTCTCAGAGCATGGATGCCCCTATTGACACCTTAGTTTTGGGCTGTTAACCTCTAGATCTTGAGAAAACACATTTGTTGTTTTGAGCTACCCAGTTTCTTTCAAATAATTTGAACAGATTCTTTAAAATTTTGTGGTACGTGGTTATCCAGTTTGTGGTACTTGATTATAGCAGCTCTAGGAAACCAGTACAAGGGGCAAATCTGTTTCTTGTCTTCTTTGCAGCTTCTAGAGGTCCTTAGCTAGTGGCCCTCCCCCTCCATCTTCAAAGTCAGCAAGGACAGGTCTATTGCCTCTCACATGACATCACTCTGAACTCTGCTTCCATCATCACATTGCCTCTCTGATTCCTCTTCTGCTTCCTCTTCCACTTTTAAAGACTCTTCCGATTACACGCAACACACCTAGACAATCTAGGAGATCTCCCCATTTAAAGTTAAACTGATACGCAACCTTAGTAAACTGATTGCAAATAGCAACTACCTATTTGCAATCTTAAACTCCCTTTGCCATTTAATATAACATACCCATAGTTTCCCAAGATAAGAATGAGGATGTCATTAGAAGAACACTATTGTGCCTACAACAATCCATGAATTAAAGTTCCTCAAGGTGTTGTGGAGAGAACACCCATATCAGAATCACTTTGTTGTCTGTTAAAAATGCAGATTTCTAGGCTTCTCTTGCTGCGTTATGAGTGGGAATCAGAAAATCCACACCACCTTAAGAGATGAACAGAATTTTTGACTGGTGGTCTTGAGAGAAGAAAAGTAGCTCAAACGGAGGAACACTTTGATCCTATGTAAAGAGGAAGGTAAATAGAGATGCTCCTGAACTTAGAATGGAGTTGCATCTCAATAAACATATAATAAGCTGAAAATATTGTAGTTGAAAATTCATGTAATATACTAACCTACCAAACACCATAGCTTAGCCTAGTTATTAAATGTGTTCCACTTCTGTACCATCATAAGGTTGAAAAATCTTAAATAGAACCATCATAAGTCAGGGATCATGTACATTGTGATCACGAAAGTATAAATAAGTATAGTTTTAACATAAGGAAGAATTCATAAAAATAAGTTTGGATTCTAAAAGAAGTTTGGAAATGAGGATAGGACCAGAGTCAAAAGAACTCTGAGGATCTCAGTACATTTTCTGCTGCTATAATAAAATACCTGGGACTGGGTAACTTATAATGAATATAAATTTATTGGTTGACAGTTCTGGAGGCTGGGGAGTCCATGATCAAGGTCTTGGGTCATTACATAGTAGAAAGTGAAAGAGCAAGAGCACAAAGATGAGAAGCCACTCCCACAAGCCCTTCTTATAATGAAAGAGCCCTCATGACCTAAACACCTTTGATTAGGCCCTATTCAAAAACATGGTCACATTCAGGATTACATTTTCAAGACATAAATTCTGAGGGACACATTCAAACCATAGCAAAGGACCAATCTAAGTAAATTTATCTTCACTCAGAAGGTCAAGAAGCTGAAGACGTTACAGAAACAGTCAACTATTTCTTGCGCATATTTGCTTTCTCTCACAGAAATAAATTTGTTCCAGGAAGAATAAAATGAAAGCATTCTGTATTCTTTAAAGATATAATATTGAAATGAAACCATTTTGTATTACTCAGTTATGAAGCCATAAAAATTACTATTCCTATCTTAATCCATTTCTCTCCAAGAGTAAATCACACGCTAGAATTGAAAAGATAGATTGTTAATCAAAATGTCTCAGTCACTTGACACTGCATAAACCAGAACACAGTATCTTTTCTTTCACAGCTAATGAATATAGACTTGAAGGATTGTGTAGGGAATGCAAAAATTAAATGGTGGAAGTTGTAATAAACGTTACCCCTTTCCATTTCAGCGTGATTCTGACTGCAAGTTAACCAATTTTCAAACTCTTGTCATTGTTTTAAGGTGCAGCACAAAATTGGCAAGATTTTCTCCTCTTGTCACTGTTCTAAGAACCATAAAACCCCAACTGAAAAGAAACCACTACATTTCTATAGATAAAAAATTAATAATATAATATGAGAAATGAATAGCAGCAACCCCAGAACATTTTAAACCATTGTTTCAGGATGGGAGATAATAAATCATTGTAGCTATGAAAAAGACACAGGACTTTTTATAACAATAATTCTATGTCAATATTAAGGAATAAAGGTAGACATATATATCCATTGTCTCTGGACCATAAAATATTTGGCATTCTGGTTTACACATTTCTATTTAATAGGATATATGAGTATATAACCATTACAGCTTTTACAAAAATATCCAGAGGCAGTGATGATTTTAAAACTCACAACTGAACGCTTCTACCAACATAGATGAGTCTAAAAAAGCCTAAGTGTGCATCAAGAAGTGACTTGCAGGTTTTCCTAGATGTTTCCACTTTAACTCATTGTCCAAAATAATAATAATCAAACTAACTAAAATCAGTATAGTGTGGCAGATATTTTTTCAAAAATTCCCACAGCAATGTCTCCCACCCCACAAGGTCTTTTACGACATGATTTTGCAAATTCCCTTCCCTTTGAATGTGGCTTGTTTTACAGACTCCGTTGTAACCAACAAAATGTAGCAAAAATAATGCCACATAACTTTAGAGGCCAGATCAAAAGAAGCCCTACATCTCCTGCCTTGGTTCTCAGACAGATCTTTCTCTGTGCTTCTTCTCTGGCCATTACCTATAGAACTAGTTGCCATGCTGTAAGAAAGTCAAACCGCATGGAGAGACCATGTGTACCTATTCATATCATCAGCCACAGCTGAGCTCAGGCTTCAAGTCCTGCTGGCCCAGTTATCAGATACATGAGTAAGAACCCTCCAAATTATAACCCAGCCATTCAAGAGTCACCTCCAGCCCTAGGATCTCCCAAGTGAAGCCTTAGACAGTGTGGAGCAGACACAAGTGACACACTCATGAGTGTAACAAAATGGTTGATGTGTGACTAATGGGGGATTAAATTTCCAAGACATAAATTTGAGTTGGTTGAATCTGAGTTGATTTCTTATGCAGAATGAGATAACTGGAACGTTCAACCTAGTTCATATTTGGTATAGAAATGATACCAATCCCACCTGGGAGGTGGAGCTTGCAGTGAGCTGAGATCGCGCCACTGCACTCCAGCCTGGGCGACAAAGCAAGACTCCATCTCAAAAAAAAAAAAAATCATACCAATCCCATAATGAGTCTGTAAGAAAGGAATCCAATACATAAGAGGTATTCAGCATTTAGGAATCATGCTATGTGTATGAAAAGTCTACGACCTACAGGTTCAGAGCCATGCCCAGGCTTTAAACCAAGTTTGAGAATTTTGTTTGAGAGTATGTTGGGAGTTTAGCTACTAATAGTTGAGATATATTCCCTACATTTGATGCCCTAAACATGAAGTCAATCCCAATATGTGTGAAATTGATCAACAGCATACCTATATACCATCTGTGTGGTCAGTCTATATGATTGGTTTTATTCCCTAAACTCTGGTGGAATTGAACCCAGTCTATTTCAATGGTAATTTAATCCCCTTAGCTTTTTCCAAGACCTTCTCTCCAGAAATGAACTCTGCTTTTAGGAAGTTTTCAGATTCCCCTATCTATGACTAAGAACCCATATGATGCAAAGAACCATGGATAATATCATATATATCTTACGATCCACACCCATTGAATATAATACTGGCTTGAATCAGAAAGGTCCTAAGTCCTTTATAGTTGCTTATGTAAATAGTTTGCACCTTCCAGACATGAGACAGTCTTTCTGTCCCAAGATTGTTTCCTCAGCTCCTAACCATCATTCTATGAAAATCAGAATACCAGGAGTTGCTGCTAAGATAAAGAATTAAGAATATGAAACAAAACAAGGCCAAAGTTCCCAAAATTAGGGCTGGACTGCCTAGATACTAACTGTCAGAGTTCTAAACTAGAGACGATCAACTGCATTCAATCTAATTTTAGTATTGATCTTAGAGACATGGGGTGGCCTGAATCTACAGATGGTGTTTCATACTAGCTGTAGGATGTAGCAGAATGCAGAGGCCAATAAAAAAGCACTGCTTAATAGAGATGACTGATCCTCTGTTATATTCATGATGAAAACCTTTGAAATAATGTATTGTAAAATTTCACGTGTTTTTATTTATTTGTTGACTACAGTTTTGCTAATTTGTATTTTGCTTCTTTGGAAAATGAGACATTTCTCCATTTCCATTCTTATTTTCATGATTCTTCAGTGACTAGCCTAGTCTAGCAAAAATCTGCAATTCACTGGGATACAATTCATCTTGGTTTGGGAAGGAAGTGCATGGCAACTAATGTTTATTTAATTATTAAGTAACCACAATTTGCTAGACTATTTACATCAGTTATCTCCCTTAATCTGCTAATTTATAGGAGGTAAGTGTATTTTTCTTAATCACAAAGTGATATAGTTTGGATATTTTTCCCCACCAAATGTAATCCCTAATGTTGGATGTGGGGTCTGGTGGGAGGTGACTGTATCATGGGAGCAGATTTCTCATAAATGGTTAGCACCATTCCCTTGGTTCTGTTCTTGAGATAGTGAATGATTTTTCATGAGGTCTGGCTGTTTAAAAGTGTATGGCACACTCCCCATCTCCCTCTTGCTCCCACTCTCACCATGTGACATGCCTTCTCCTCTTTTGCCTTCCACTATGATTAAAAGCTTCCTGAGGCCCTCACCAGGAGCAGACGCTGGTGCCATACTTGTACAGCTTGCAGAACCATGAGCCAAAAAACCTCTGTTCTTTATAAATTACCTAGCCTCAGATATTTATTTACAGCAACACAAAATGGACTAAGACAATTGGTCACACACCTCTTCTTCCATCATTTTGTATACAACTTTTTACATTTTTTCTCTAGCAACTTCAACAAGAAACTTCCTGGATAAATAGACCAGTTTCTTTAAACACCAATTATACTATCAGAATTTAGTGTTATTTTCTGTTCCTCTAGATCCATCTACTCACTCTTGAGTCTCCATCTTAAGTGTTTAAATAGCTCCACCCTCATTAACTCTTGGATGGCAAAGCTGCTTTTTCCTAGAATTACTTCCTACCCCTTTCCCTTTATAATTTAATATCTCTTTACCTAGATTTCAGTTGAAGTAGCAGTACTACTACTCATTCTATATCCCAAGAAAATAAAGTAACTTCTGCTTATCACCATTATCCATGTGCTTCCTTGGATAACTTTTTAATAATAGAGATTGTTCTGAAGCCTTCTCTTCTTCTTTAGCATCAAAATGCACAGAACACAGCAATGTTCCTTGGTAGCAGAAACAAAAGACAAAATTCTATTATAAACTTGATCTCTGACTCAGCACATGATTTGAAACAATAAGACCTCTCTATATTTTATTTTTCTTACCTGAAATACTGGGACAATAATGTTTTCCAATTATTGGTGTGAGGATTAATGAAACAATGTTTGCAAAGCACTTTGAGTACCTCCGATGAAAGCTGTTCTATTGTCACTCTGATTTCCCCTTAAAAGATGGGGAAATCAATTTACCAGTCTCTATGGAAAGTTTTTCTATTGTCACTCTGATTTCCTCTTAAAAGATGGGGAAATCAATTTACCAGTCTCTATGGAAAGTTTTTTAAAAATCCATTTTACTCACTTTTGTAACACAGCTGGAGGACAAAGAAGAAATTCACATAGGAAAAGAATCAATAATTTTGCATTGCATGTCTTCATCAGAACCTGAAGCAGATTACACTTCTCTTGTAAGCAAATGACAGCTTTTAAATATTTTAAATATGCATGTATCTTAAAAAAATTGGCATTTTACTAGTAAATATCACATATTTTAAGTCATCCTTAAACTTAACATTAATTAATCCTTAATTAATATTTACCTTACATTCTGCCACTAAAATTGAACACAAAAAGAGAAACACTGAAGTAATGAAAACTTTGATTCATGCCTGAATAAATGTGAGAATTAAAAGTTACTCTTGAGAACGAATTTTGATTCACATCTTTATGCCTCAAAGAAATTGAGCAACAAACTCTCTGCTGGTTATTTTTGATAGCAAGAATTAATAAAGTAGGAATTATGGCAAGATTTAAACTTCAGCATAAGTTTAAAACCTGAAGCCTAAAATATTTTTTAAAATAATAGTTGGGACATCTGAAAGCACAAAACATCTTAGTTGAGTTTACAGTGTCTTCTAGACAATGGCCATATATTAAACCTACAGTTTTCTGCTGCACTTAATAAAAAATATGTGTTCTGAATTTGCTCGTGAAATTGAGAAAGAAGAAAATATGAGAAAGACTAATGAAATCTGGTCAGTAAACTTAAAAAAATAAAACCTATTAATATTTGTATTGAGGAAATTATGATGATCTAGAAGTACTTAAGGCTTATTTAGTTGGTTAGGAAATTCAGAATTAAGCTAGGAAAAACTTCAGTAACAATATGAATTATATGCACCAAATAGAATCACACAGCTCAGTGATTTGGGGGAAAAATCTGTCACAGAGCACTAATGTGAATAACATAAAGTAAATAACATTACTAAAGTCCCACCTTCCAGTACAATTTTCCCCCTCTGAAAAATAACATCAAATTCAAAATTACCAATATTATACTTGGTACAGATAGAATCAATTTCAGGCAACTTGCAAAACACAATTGTTTTACAGAGAGACTGAGTAATGCTGTGGCTTGTCCCAGACTGTACAGGGCATTTAAAAAAGTAATCAAATAAGCCAAAGCAGATGTGAAATTTGAAGAATAAAAAGAGTCTAATTGTTAATCTCTGCCAATGCTTAGTTCCTACCGATTCCAATTACATGTCTATTGAGATAACATATTAAAACTTAGGACTATCAAAGTTATGTTCCAGCCTGTTTGTGATTACTACACTTGTCATTTAAAGGTTAATAGTCCAGGACCCAAAATCAACATATGAAAAGCAATAGAATTTCTATATGCTAACAGCAAACAATCTGAAAAAGAAACCAAGAAAGTAATCTCATTTAAAGTAGCTACAAATAAAATGAAATACCCAGGAATTAACTTAACCAAAGAAACAAAAGATCTCTACAATGAAAATGGTAAAATATTGATGAAAGAAATTAAAAACAACACAAAAAAAGGGGCAGATATTCCATGTTCATGGATTGGAAGAATCAAAACTGTTAAAATGTCCATATTATGCAAAGCAATCTGCTGATTCAGTGCAACTCCAATCAAAATATCTTTACAGAAATAGAAAAGTAGTCCTAAAATTTATATGGAACCACAAAAGGCACAGAATAGCTAAAGCTATCCAGAGCAAAAAGGACAATGCTGAAGGCATCACATTACCTAACTTCAAATTATATTGCAAAGCTACGATAACTAAACAGCACGGTACAGGTATAAAAACAGACACATAGACCAATGAAACAGAATAGAGAACCCAGAAATAAATCCACATATTTACAGCTAACTTATTTTTGACAAAGTTGCCAAGAACTTACTTTGGAGAAAGGACACTCTTCAATAAATGGTGCTGGAAAACCTGGACATCCATATGCAGAAGAATGAAACTAGACCTCTATCTCTCACCATACACAGATGTCAAACCAAAATGAATTAAAGACTTAGACCTAAAACTATGAAACTATTAGAAGTAAACATTGGGGAAACTCTCCAGGACATTGGTGTGGGTAAAGATTATTTGACTAAGACCTCAAAAGCACAGAGAAAAAAAAGCAAAAAATGGGGTCACATAAAGCCAAAAAGCTTCTGCACAGCAAAGGAAACAATCAACAAAGAGACAACGCACAGAATGGGAGAAAATATTTGCAAGCTACCCATCTGACAAGAGATTAAAAAGCAGAATATATAAGGAGCTCAAATGTTTCAATATTTAGAAAACAAATATTCCAATGTTTCAAATAGGCAAAAATCTGAATAGACATTTCTCAAAAGAAGACATACAAATGGCAACAGAAATATAGAAAAATGCACAACATCACTAATCATCTGAGAAATGCAAATTAAAACCACAATGAGATATTATCTCACCAAAGTTAAAAAAAACAGGCAATAACAAATTTATCAAAAAAACAGGCAATAACAAATGCTGGCAAGGACGTGGAGAAAGGGGAATCTTCATACACTGTTTATGGTAAAGTAAATTAATTCAGCCACTATGGAGAGCAGTATGGAGGTGCCTCAAAAAACAAAAATAGAGCCACCATATCATCTAGCAATCCCACTGTTGGGTATACATTTTTTTAAAAAAGGAAATCAATATAGCAAAGAGTTCCTCACTCCCATGTTTACTGCAGTGCTATGCACAATAGCCAAGGTATGGAATCAGTCTAAATGTCTATCAACAAATGAATAAAGAAAATGTGATACATATACACAATGAAATATACAGCCGTTTAAAGTAAACAAATCCTATCATCTGCAACAGTGTGGATGGCACTGGAGCATATTGTGTTAAGTGAAATAAGTCAGGCACAGGAAGACAAATAGTGCATGTTCTCACTCATATGTGGGAGCCAAAAAAAAAAAAATGAACTCATGGAGAGAGACAGTAGAATGATTATTACCAGGGGCTGAGAAGGGTAGTGGGGAGGGGGAGCAGAAAGGAGGAAGAGGAGATGTTTAAAGGAACAAAAATATAGTTAGACAGAAGGTATAAGATCTAGTGTTTGGTAGCACAATAGGGTGACTATAATTAATAATAATGTGTTGTATATTTCAAAATAACTCAAAGAATGATTAGAATGTTCCTAACAAAAAAAATGATAAATGTTTGAGGTGATGGATACCCCAATTACCCTGATTTTCCTATTACACATTGTATGCCTGTATCAAAATATCACATATATCCCATAAATATGTACAACTATTATATATCCATTACAACTCTTATGTATGCATAACAACTAAAAATATTTTTAACTAAGTAATACATTAATGAACTGCAGCAGTGGTTCTCCAAGTGAGGTGTTGAGGAGCTGGGCAATGCAAAGCAGCATGATATCACATGGAGAGCTCATTTGTATAAATTTGTATCAAGGACTCCACTTCCAAAATACTAAAATACGGATTCATGAACCAACGAACAGTAGGAGCCCCTGTCAAAGACAGAAGTGCCTGCATAGGCCTCAGGTCAGATAAATATAACTAAACTCAAATCCTTGTTTAGTCCCTTACTAATGATGTGATTTTAGACAATTTAAAAAATTTAAGTCATTAAATTTTCTGAATCGCAGTTTTTTCATTAAAAATAAAAGCATAGTAACACTGCCATCACGACTATGTTGTAATAATTAATGGTTTAATGTATGTAAAGAGATCAACAAAGAGCAGTAAATGAATAAATTATGTTCTCCCTGTCCTCACTCTAGAAGATACTAGGAAGAGATCAATTAATACATTCCATGTCTCTACCAAAATGAAACACTATACAAATGAAAGCCTTTTAGGGAAAGCAATTTTACAGCTAGCCACCTCTAGTAGGTTATTATAGTAATTAATAGCCTTACTGCCAAGATGCTGGTCTCTATTGCTTACATAACTGCAAATTAAGTCACTTTCTTCCTGACCTTATTCAATTACCCTACTCTATTCTTAATTCGACAGAGTTGTTATTGAGAAATTCTTTGCCTTTTTCAATTCATTGTTTAAAACTAAAATCTATGAATGTCTTTTTAATCCTTCTTTCTTTATTTTTCTTCTAATTCTATGTAAAGAAGCATAACCTCAAGTAGCTAATAGCTAATATTGGGTTAGTATTACAGCACATGAATTTCGTTGTCTCTCTTGTCTCCATTAGTCTTTCAAATTTATCCAAAGGTGTTCCTGGGCTCTGATGTTTCCCCCTACTAATTTATAAAGTAACTAGTTTCATTGCTTCCTTAAAAACTCGTCAGTTTATAAAGTATTGATTTTAAAATTTGACCCCGGTCATACAAATATTTTTTCATGTTTAGAAACTTTCTGTCAGCATGTATCCTCAAATCTGCTTACAGCAACTTTGAATCCATTTGTAGAAGTAAAATAAAACACAAATAGTAATAGTCCTCAATCCCAAAACAATATACAAGCAAATGAAAAATTCTGACAGAGGCAGCCTATATAAATACTAAAGTGAAATACACTTTAAAAGATTTACTCTTTAAAAGTCACCTTACTAAGAGCTAGCATACTTATCTCATTTTATTGTTGCAATTGCTTAGTGATCTAATATCACACAATTTTATAAACAAAGGAATGAAAACCTTATTAAATTAAGTAACTTTATGAAAGTGGCATAGCTACGTTGCTGGGATTTGAACTCAAATTTGTACTACAGCAAGGCCAACAATTCTTTGGATTTTACCATAAGTGTATGACAATCTAGATTTGGAGGATGGTGATGCTCATGAACTTTTCTTATATCCAGAAACCTCAGGAAAATTTTAAGATTTAATGTGTGTATTAATTATAATAGATTAGTTTTTGGCAAGCAATTTACTATATTTGGGACTCGTTTTTATCTATAAAATAGGCTCGATTGACATTATCTTTCAGAAATAAAATTAATTACATACATAGTTTAAAATTTCTAGTAGATATATTTAAAAAATGAAATAGGTAGAGCTAATAATAATTTTAATAAGGTTTAACCATATATGTAGTCCAAATATCATTTTATTTTACATATATAATCTATATAAAAATTAATAAGATTTTTTATATTCTTTTTTCATACTGAATCTTAGAAATCCAGATACACATTTTAATTAGCCACATTTCAAGTGCTCAATAGTCACATGTGGCTAGTGGCTACCATATTGGATGGTATGGCTAGCTGTAGAGAACTTCAAGTTCTCTTCCACCTAAAAAGCCTAGAAACCTATCATTCTATAGTTTGCAAAATAAACACAGACTGAAAAGAATTTTTTTAAAAAAATTATGCCATAGAATTGCCTGGGTAGCAAAGTAACACTGACACTTATGTGGATTTGTTTTTGCCTAACTGGATCTTTTAAAAATTATTAATTATGAAATAACATATATAGAAGTAGTATATAAAACACAAATGTAATCTTAAAAATAATGATATGTTGCAACCTCCCAAATAATCACCATCTGGGTCAAGAAAAAGAACTTAATAAACCACTTCATAACCAATGACCCCACAAGTGTGCACCACCCCGATCACTGCCCATTTCTTCCCCCTTAGAGGTAAATACAACCCTGATATTTGTGATCATCATTTCCTTATTTTTCTTTAAAATTGTATTACCTAGTTATGCATCCCCCAAACTATATACAACCATTTAGTTCTGCTGTTTAATTTCATATACATGAAATTACATAGTGTGTATAATTTTGAGAATTTCAACATCTGCTCAAAGCTATCTTTATGGGACTTATACATGTTTTAGATATAGCTCATTCATGTTCCTGGCTTTATTAGTTCATTATGTGACTGTAGCATTCTACTATTTACTTACACTCGAGTTCTTTCTGGTGTTTGGCTATTATAAACAGTTCTGCTTTGAACATTGTTGTCCACATACCTTGAAGAGGTACATGCCCAAGAGTATCTCAAGAGTACACTTAGGAATGAACTTGCTGGATCATAGGACAGGCCCATCTTCAACTCTACTAGATAATGACAAACCTTCCTAAATTGATGCATAGTTTACATTTCCACTAGCAATGAGTTTTGCTACAACCTCCCCAGTGACTGGTATTGTCGGATTTTATAATTTTTACCAACCAGATGAGAATACATTAGCATTTCATTGCAGAATTATTTCTCTAATTATTAATAAAATTGGTTATCTTTTTATATACACATTGACCATTTGAATATTCTCTTTTAAGTTGCCTCTTTTTCTTACTGATTTGTATGTCTTTATAAGTCCTGGATATTTGTCTTTCTGTTTGGCTGATTTGGGTTATATAAATTTTTAAAAATTTCCCCAAGTAATTTGTCTTACCACACTTTTAACGGGGTCTTTTTGATAGACAGATGTTAATTTTAATACAAATCAATGTGTCAATCTTTTCATTTATAGGTACTGGGTTTTATATCTTGTATAAGAAAGACTTTCCTACCTTGAAATTATTCTCTTATATTATCTTCTAGACCTTTGTATTTGACCTTTGACATTTCAGTCTTTAATCTGCATGAAGGTCAGTTTTTATATGGTGTGAGATAGGTGTCAACTTTAATTTTATTTCAGTTTGATATCCAAATGGTCTAGTATTATTTATTAAAAAGTTTGTCTTTTTCCACTAATCTGCAAAGTTATCTCTTCCACTGCTCAAATATCCCTCAATAAGTGGGTTTCTTCTTGGGCTTTCTACTCTGTTCTTTTCCTCAACTTGCCTAGCCCCATGCCACTCATAATTACATAACTTTAAAATATGTTTTGATACCTGATAAGTCAATTCTTCCCATCTTATATTCCTTTAAGATTTTCTTGGCTTTTCTTGACCCTTTGAAGTTCCCATATACCTTTTGAACAAGCTTGTTGAATTGAACAAAAGAGCCTGCTAAGATTCCATTTGAAATTCATTAAATATATAGAAATCAATTCTGTCTCAACTGAGATAGAACTGAAATTTTTAATAATTTTTAATATTTTACTCTATTAATTTTTGTTCTAAGTTTATTTCGGTCATTTTAATATAAATTTTTATATTTTTTCCACAGAATTCTTATACATCTTTGTTAGATTTATTCCCAACTGCTTCATGTTTTCTTAAGTTACAGTAAAATGTGTATTACCTCATTTTAACTGTTATTTTGCTGGTATATAAAAATGCAATTCATTACTGTATATTAATATGCACCTTATTGAATTCTCATTAGTAATAATAGTTGAATCTCTTTGATGTTCTATATAGAATCATGCCAAATGTTATCAGTTGCAATTTTGTATGGTTTTTTTTTTTTTTTTTTTGAAATGGAGTCTCGCTCTGTCGCCTAGGCTGGAGTGCAGTGGCGCAATCTCGGCTCACTGCAAGCTCCGCCTCCTGGGTTCACACCATTCTCCTGCCTCAGCCTCCCGAGTAGCTGGGACTACAGGTGCCTGCCACCACGCCCAGCTAATTTTTTTGTATTTTTTTGTATTTTTAGTAGAGACGTGGTTTCACTGTGTTAGCCAGGATGGTCTCAATCTCCTGACCTCGTGATCCACCCACCTTGGCCTCCCAAAGGGCTGGGATTACAGGCGTGAGCCACCGGGCCCGGCCTGTATGTTGTTTTTAATCTCAAATCTTTTTTTTTTTTTTTATCTGCTTATCTTATTTGGGTCAGGCTTCCCATGTAATGTTGACTAGAAGTGGTGGACAGCCAGCCAGCATCATTGTCTGATTCCTGATCCAAAAGAGAAAATGTTAAATGTCATTTTAGGTTTGATTCTGCTATGCAATTTTTGCAAATAATTTTTCATTATATTAATGATGCTGATCCTAATTTGCTAAGTTTTGTCATGAACTAGATGTTGACTTTTATTGTTTTTCTGCCTCTATTAAAAGAATCATATATTTTCTCTCCTTTTTTAAATTATGCTAATTTATACTGATTGATTTTTTAATGTCCAACTAATTTCACATTTCTAGAATAAATTCAACTTTGCAGTGTATTTTTATATTTGCGAAATTTTGCTTAGAATTTTTATCAATGTTCATAAATGAGAAAGACCTATGATTTTACCTTTTATAATGGCTGTGTTAGGTTCTGATATTAAAGTTATGCTGGCCTCATAAAATAAATTGGGAAATGTTCCTTCTTTTCTACTGATATTTAAGAAGCTGTATAAAAATTATTTTACTGTTTGGTAGAATATGACAGAGTTCAATAATAAAGCCAGTTCAACTCAGAGTTCTTTGTAGGAATATTTTAACATATTTTGTTTACTTAATGGATAAAATACTATTAATATATATATATTTGTTTGTCAACATTAGTAAGTTTGTTTTTCTAGGAATTTGTTCATTTTACTTAACTGTCAAAACCATTGACATGAAATATTAATAAAGCCCTAATATTATTTTTAATATGTATGGTATCTGTGATCTTTTTATTCCTTAAATTATTTGTACATTCTTTCTTATTCCTTGATTATTCTCAACAGATATTTGTAAATTTTATTATTCTTTTTAGAAAATCGACTTTTTGGCTTTATTGATAACTTCTTTTTTGATAGTTTTATAGTATTTTAATTGCTGCCCTATTCCTGGATAATGCAAGGACCTTCAAACACTTGAATTATATTTATTCCCCTCTCAATATATATGTTATCATTACCAGTTACTATGGTTCTATTTTATGCCCCACAGTACATTATTATCATTTTAAGTAATTCATATTATTTATATTTGTCTATAATTTCCTGTCATTATGTTTGCTTTCCAGACTTCCCCTCTGGGATCATTTTCCTTCAGCCTAAATCACATCTCCAAATCATACTGCAATCACAGGTAAATCCAAAATTGTACTGTCTTACAGTAACAAAGGTTTATTTCTGTCACATTTACATCCATAGAGGATCAACTAGAGCTCTGCTGAATGTGCTCTTCATTTCAAAATCAAAGCTTAAGGGGCATCCTCTATCTGGGAAACCAGTTTCAACAGTGCTCAGGAGTGTTGCTTGTCACTTCCACATACATTGCATTGTCTGATAAAGTGATATGGTCAAATCTAATGTCATCAGGACATAAGATCCCTATTAGAAGAAGCCAGAAAAACTGATATTAATAGATTAATAGGATCTGCTCCACCATGTGTTTCTATTTCTATTAGATAGTACCTGTTGTTGAAAAACTCAGTGTCTCCCTGAAAACTGTATTTTATTTATTGAAATTCTTAAAATATATCTTCCCTGGGTATGCAATTCCCTTAGCATTTTTCCATTTAATACAATAATGATATATTTCCCTTTCTTCTGATTCTATTGTTATTATTAAGAAGTTAGCTCAGTCTAGCTGCTATTCCTTTAGAGATAATTCTCTTTTATTTCTGGCTTCTTTTAAGATTTTAACTTGTATGTGGTGCACTGATGCTTCACTATGATATATTCAAGTGTGTATTTCTTTCCACCTGTCATGCTTGAGATTTGTTGGGCATCTTGAATCCATAGACTAGTATTTGTTCTGTTCAGGAACATTTGCAGCCAACAATTCCTCAAATATTTCCTCCTCTCTATTCTTTCTATCCTCCTCTTCTGGAACTCCGATTAGACATATATGAGAATTCATATATTAGACTTTCTCTTTCTGCCCTCCATGGCTTTTTATTGTCTCTTTTATATATTTTTTCATCTCTTTGCTTCTTCATGCTACATTCTGGAAAGTTATTCTGACTGATCTTCAGAACAATTATTCTGGCTGATTCATCTATTGAGTTTTTACTTTCAGCTATTGGATTTCTCTTTTGTAAAAGTTTGATTTGGTTTGTCCAGTCTTCTAGGGTACTTTTCGAGTATTCTATTATAGGAATATTTTTATTTCTTTAAACATTGTTGGCATGGTACTTTATAACTTGTGGCTATAATCATAATATCAAGTCTTTGCAGATTTGTTTGTTTTGTTTTGTCAGCTGGTTCTTAATTTTAGTGCCCTTGTTTATTTGTGTGTGATTGGTTTATTATTGCCAGTGAGTGCCCATTAGTCATTTTCCTTAAAAGTGTGTTTATAGGTACTCTTTAAGGATAAAGATGAAAATACCTTTCTGCAAAAAACATTTTAATTTACTTTTGCTAGGTTTCTATGGATACTGAGAACCACCAGTCTAGTAAATTTGGGTGTTTAATAATCACAAAAGCCAGGTTGTGGCTATAACTTTTCTGAGAGTTCCTGCTGTGCTCTGACTGTGTTCCTCAAAAGTTCATGTGTTGGAAACTTTATCCCTCTTTCCTTATGAATGAATTAAGGAATTAATGAGTATGTTGCCCTCATCAATAGATTAATGTCACTATTAGAGAGTGCTTGTCTGAGAGTGGTTACTCTAGTATCATGCAAGTAGGTTTCTTATAAAAGCAAGTTTTTTCTAGCTTGCTTGCCCTTGCTCTGTCACAATGTGATGCCTTCTGCTGTGTTATAATGCAGCAAGAAGGCCCTCACAGATGCTGGCTCCTCCATCTTGGGCTTCCCAGCCTCCAGAACTATAAGACATAAATATTTCTTTATGAATTACCAGTCTGTGGTATTCTGGTACAGCAACAGAAAACAAACTAAGGCAATTCCCTCTTCTGCTTTGCTAAGCATCAAGGTCATGTTCGTAGCAAATGCTTGATACTGGGAGAAGGAGGCTAGTTTACTTCTAATTACTTCTCATTCCTTGGGGTTCCCAGATCTATAAGAAATGTGCTGTCTACTACACTTCCACCTAGAGTGCGCCCTGTGTTTGTTTACCCTTTACCCTATTCCACTTTTATTCAAGTTTAACTCATTTGACAAACATCCCCAGAGAAAAGTGAATTAAATGATTCTCTTATGTTCTGATTCCAGTTTTTATTTATAGTTTAACTTGGTAGATCTTTACTATATTTTTAAATCTTACATTTCTAAAAACACATTTATTTTCTATTGTATGCAGCACTTTTAGTTGTTTTATTCCAGTGCAAATGTTGACCCAAATGACCTCTCCTTGACACTTTCCTCTGAGGGTGACTACTGGACAAATTCTAAAATGACTCCACACTAGCGTTCTCCTGTGTAGCCTAGATCCAGCTAATGGAAAATGCTCCACGTCTCTTGCTGTGACTCTGGAAGTGCAGGTAAATCAAAACACATCAGCCCTCTCTTAGCTTTATCATAAAGCAATCTTTCAGTCTTTTATGACCTCCAGATTTCTCAGACAGGAGTCAGACCTCAGTTCAACCTCTGCTTTAGTTTTCTCACATGCAAGTCAGACATGAGTCCTCTACAGCTTCCAACTGCAGGAGACTCATTTAAAGTTCTAAGTTGTCTCACTGAAGCCTTCCCCATCTAGCTTTCAGAGGAAAGAACAGACCATTTCTCTCCCAAAGGCAACAGAATAGAAACTCTCCACAGAGCAGTAGCTCTCTGAAAAAAAACCTTTGTGACAACTCATCCTCCCAAATCTGATTCTTTAAGGCCTTGATCACGCTGAAGAGTACAAGACTCACGGAACAGCTTGTCATTTTGTAAATTCTGCATGGGAAGCGAACTGCCCTCTTACTTGACATCTTCCTATGGTTTTCACACCTCAGTCAAAAATGAAACATTCTGTACACTTTGATATCATTTGTCATAATGAAAAACAAATTATGAAAATTTGAGGTTTTTTAAATTTTAACACCACATTTAGCAGTAATCTGTGCAATGCTATGGTGAGAAGGCTAGTATCTATTTTCACCAACTATTTACTATTTTTAAAAAGATACAAGTAAAACTACATGATGTGCTAAATTGTACTAAATTGTTGGAACTTTATAATCACTAATTTATAAAAACATCCAAACTCTAGCGGTGAAAACAAAGGGAAATAAATATGTATCTCATGAAGAAAAAAGAGTGGGAGGACAGCAGTAAAGTTTTCTAAAAGATCAGGAGATATTTAACAAAACTTAAGAGAATCTCTCCCTTAGGAGAAGAAAAAAATTCACCCTCACCAAAAAGATCCAGGAACCCCCACTCACCTCCTATTAAAACAACCAGCACCTAACAATATAAACCCTATTTCCTCTAAAAGCAGAGTGCCTCTTACATGAAGAAAAGCCCAAGTATCTTGACCTCTGCTCAGAAGCAATAATATTACAAGCCAAGAGATTTTTTCCTAGACTTTGCTGGACTTCCACTGGGATTCTCAGTGGAAACAATAATCTGTTGACGTATAGAGTACTACACAATTCCCCTGGAAGCCCTAATTCTCATAAATCAAAAGTTCTACTTCAATGCAACTGATCTATTTTGGAGAAGGCAATCCTGCTCAGAATTAGATTTGTCACGGCACATTCTTTTAATCTTTAGCAGTATGAGCTTTGTAAACACAGTATTTGAAATAATACAGCATATTATTTTATATAAAAGCCTTGAGAGTCCTAGATTCCTGAATACTTTCTAGTAAAACAGCCAAGTTACTTAAGCTGCTGCTTCTTCTCCTCCTCCTTTTTCAAGCAAGAGAGAAGTAAAAGTCCTACGAGCTAGTGAGCCTTTAAAGAAATGTTTGAATATTGAGGGAGTTAATGAGACAGAGATAATGCTGTTTCAGTTGGCAAGTCCTACAAAGCAAAGGTTTGTGCAAAGGTAATAGTGATATGAATTGAAGACAGGGATACTGACCATCTATTTGATATTTACACCCTCAGAATCTTTTCCTCTGTAACTGTTTCACATATGTAACACTGCCAACTTGCTTGAGAATATAATCTTCATAAAATATTATGTTTTCCTTTACACTGAACAAGCATTTTCCCTTTCGGAAATATCAAAAAAGGCTTTAGTGAGGCTTTAAATCAATCTACATAAAATGTCTTTGAAGTAGCCAAGTGGTTTTCTGTTTGCTTTTAATTTTCTCTTCTGTGGTCCAAGCACTTGGAGAACAGATGTGAGAGAAGACTTTGGATAGAAAATTAAAGAAATAACAGAAGCTTTCAATGAGAGAGACTTAATGTAGTGGTGGCTCTGGGGAAAAGTATAATTAGGAATTAAGCAAATATTAGAGACCAGAGATACCAATGTACAGCTAGAGACCAGAGATGCCAATGTACAGATAACTCAAATCACAGTAGGTGACCATTGCAGAGAGTGAAGACATCATAAACATAGTAAACACAATGATCTATGGAGAGATCCATTTAAATGAACAAAAATAGGCAAGTTATAAACAAATATTCTACAAGTTCATAGATAAAAAATTAAACATTATCTCCTCTATGAAGTCTTACATAATCTGTTCCCTCACCCACAGCCAAGTTACGATGTCTTGGGATAGTGCTCTATCAGATATATCTATACATGATTCCCCTTATTGTCTCAGTTTTGTCTTTTGTAAAAACAGCTAATGATAAGGATTAAGTGGAATTAACCCCTAAAAGTCCTTAGCACACACATTAAACATAGTAGGCACTCAAGAAATAATCATTATAATTATACTGTAATTTGTTACTTAGATCTGTCTCCCTCATTACAATCTCCTTCAAGAATTTATCACAGCTAATCCATAGCTACTGTTAATTATGAAGTTATTGTACACTAGGTATTGGTCTATGTGATTTACATGCAGATAGTATTATTATCCTCATTTTATAGACAAGGCACTGACAGGATAACAAACTTGCCCATGGTTACATATCTCAGAAGTAGCAGAGGTAAGACTTTTAACCCGCATACTCTGGTGATATGGTTTGGCTGTGATCTCACCCAAATCTCATATTGAATTGTAGCTCCCATAATTCCCATGTGTGGTGAGAAGGACCTGATGGGAGGTGATTGAATCATGAGGGTAGGTCTTTCTTGTGCTGTTGTCATGATAGTAAGTTTCGTGAGATCTGATGGTTTTATAAAGAGGAGTTTCCCTGCATAAACTCTTTTTGCCAGCCACCATGTAAGATGTTTCTTTGCTCTTCCTTCACCTTCTGCCATGATTGTGAGGCCTCCCCAGTCATGTGAAACTGTGAGTCAATTAAACCTCTTTCCTTTATAACAAATCTTATTATGATGTGTTTTTGTTTTTTGTTTTGTTTTGTTTTGTTTTTTGAGACAGAATCTCACTCTGTTCCCCAGGCTGCCCAAGCTGGAGTGCAGTGGCATGATCTCAGCTCACTGCAACATCTGCCTGCCAGGTCAAGCAATTCTCCTGTCTCAGCCTCTGCAGCAGCTGGGACTTCAGGTGTGTGTCACCATGCCCAGCTAATTTTTGCCTGGCTAATTTTCTCTGTGTTTTTAGTAGAGACAGGGTTTCATCATGTTGCCCAGGTTGGTCTTGAACTCCTGAGCTCAGGTGATCCACCCGCCTCAGCCTCCCAAAGTGCTAGGATTACAGGCATGAGCCACCAAGCTCAGCCCTCGGTTATGTCTTTATCAGCAGCTTGAAAACGGACTAATACATCTGGCTAGTACGACTAGTACAACATACTGAGTACTCATATCATAGAAACACAGACACACACACACAGAGGCAAAGATGTGCTTGTGTGCATTCTGTTTACTTGTAAAAACGACAAACTTCGTCTAAGTCAACTTGATTTCCTTAACATTTTTCTTCCTATCCATAGTCAAAATCAGAAATGCCTGCTGAAAACCATCTTCAACTATGACCTACCCCCTCCACTCCACTCTGAGCCCCCATAATCTGACCTGGTAATGCTGGTTTCCTTCCTGTTGACTTCTGCTATTCTGACTATCCACTTCAGACAGAAGTCAGGCTTGGACTTCCTAGCTGGGTTTCAATGTTGGCATCATTCCAGAATCTTATTTAACCTTTGATTTCAAATTCTGCTGCCTTTGGATCTGGCTTATTCTACTCCAGCATCTAATCCAGGTCCCTGGGAATGCAGTCCTGGCTCTCGTTTTGGAATACATTTTTTCCTGAAGGCAAGTATAAATATTTAGAGTAAGTCTAACTTGGGATTGAATCCCAGGGATCCCAGGCAAGCTTTTAATTTTTCTGAGCCTCAGTTTCCTCACGGAAAATATGTGAAAAATATTAGGACCTGTTTCACCAGGTTGCTGTGAGAATGAAATAAAAAAAGATATGTAAAACAGAATTGTGCTTGGCACATAGCAAACAATGCAAAAGTGTATTGGATGAAAAAAGGATGACAAAATAATTTAGTCTGATTTTATTATTTTGTCTGAAAAATAAATACAAAGGCCCTGAATGTTCCCTGTATTTCTCACATCACCTTCATTCTTCAAGACTCAGCTCAATGATTTATTCAAGGAAGAGACCCTCCTTTGTGCTCTCACAACAAACCAAACAAGCTTTTATCTCGGTCCTTGCCACATTATGTATCATGTGTCTCTTTGTCCATGCCACTAGATTGTCAGCTTCCTGAGAGAGGCCCATGTGTGCATGTATGTATGCGAGTGTGTTGGGGGTTATTATACATTAGTCACCTCTGTTGCCCCAGTGCCCATCATAGGTACCAGATTTTTCCAGGCTTAACTAAACTGTGTATGTGATCTTCTGCCAGAATCACCAAATGAGAAGGTACCAACTGGCTAAATAATGAGATTGGACGAAGCAAAGGGAGATTCGTGAGGAAGTAGTCATCAGCTTAGAGCTGGTCCTCAACTCTGAGACAGAGTGAAGACACTCACACCTCCACCATATGAGAGTCAGATGGTCTCTCCAACATGGACTACTTACCTTTTACCTTAGGAAATAAAGGACAAAAAAGTTGTGCCCTACAGAAAAAAAAATCAATGAGGCTATTTCATAAGAAATCTAGCATCATTAAAACTAGAATGGGATATTTTTATGTATGTAATTGTGGTCTGCAGAAAGAAGTTGACATCCTAACCCTCAGTACCTGTGAATGTGACCTTACTTGGAAATAGTCTTTGCACAGGATCAACTTAAGATGATATCATTAGGGTGGGCCCTGATTCAATATGACTGGTGTCGATATAAAAAGAGAAAATTTTGACAAAGGGACAGACCCAGGCAGTAGGAAGACATGCACAGGAAGGATGCCACTAAAAGATAAAGGCAGAGATTGAAGTAATGCTTCCCCAGACCAAGGAACACCAAAGATGGCCACCATGCCCCTAGAAGCCAAGAGAGAGGCATGGGATAGAACAAGCTTGTCCAACCTGCAGCCCATGTGCTGTCTACAGCCCAGGATGGCTTTGAATGTGGCCCAACACAAATTTGCAAACTTTCTTAAAACATTATGAGATTTTTTTTTTGCGGTTTTTTTTTTAGCTCATCAGCTGTCATTAGTGTTAGTGAATTTCATGTGTGACCCAAAACAATTCTTCTTCCAACATGGCCCAGGGAAGCCAAAAGATTGGACACCCCTAGGACAGATTATTCCTCACAGCCCTCAAAAGAAACCAATCCTACCAACACCTTGATCTGGAATTTTGGCCTCCAGAGCTATGAGACAATCAATTTCTGTTGTTTTAGCCAGCCAGTTTGTGGTACTTTTCTACAGCAGCCCTAAAAACTAATAAAGACTTGTTAAGGAAATAGCTGGAGAATCTCAAAAAAAGGTAAGTATAATGGAATACCATCAAGAAAATCAGTAGTAGTAACCATTTTAAGCTTCAAACCCACTACCAAAAACATTTTAAAGTGTTCAAAATACTGAAACAGAGAAAAAGATGTTACTCATCCCAGGCAATCAATTCCACCTAATAGCTTACTATTCATATCTAGAAAGGCAAACACTCTCCAACCCAAGTTATTACTATTCTCTTTCCAAATGGTCGTGGTTCCTCCTTGCTCATCTATTTCTATTATTACAACCAAACTTCAGGATCACTCTGTTAAGTTCCCAACTTTATTATAAGATGATATAAAAAATAATTTACATAGATGTTTAAATGGCATTGAATATAAGGTTCAAACATTTCTTATTAATTACATCACTGGGTATTTTATGAAAATCTGTTGTTGATGTGAACTTGTTCATTTTAATTACATTTTTAAATTGTCAATTGCCAGTGTAAAGGAAAACACAGACTTCTCTGTTGATGTAATGGTCAGTTGCTGGCTCTGGAGTGCATTACTTGGGTGCAAACCTTAACTTTTCCACTTGCTTCAAATGTGATTCTAGGCAAGCTGCTCAACCTCTTTAAAATTTCCTCATTAGTAAAATGAGGATAATGTTAGTAATTACCACATAAGGATGTAAGAATTAAATGAGATAATGCATGTTAAGCAAGAGCCTTGTATATAGCAAGACCTCAGTGGGTGTTAGCTATTATTGTTGCCGTAGTTAGTATTAGGTATGTATTAACTCCTTAATGAGAAATTGAGAAAGCAAAACTGTCATAGAGATCTGCCTTTAAACAAGACAAATACCCACCAAAAGCCAAATATCACTTAAAAGTTTATAAAATGGTTAAAAATCATTCTCTCATTTTTACATTTTTTCCTACTGTAACTCTTTTAGAAAACAAGTAGAGCTGAATAAAGAGTTAAGCATAGAAAAAAAGGAGAAATTGGCTAAATAGGACCATCTTAAAATATTTTATTTTATAAAAAATTCCCTAAATATTCTCAGCACATTGGAGTGCATTTATCTTAACTGTATATAAAATATAGTAACCCAAGAAGAAGAAATTATTTTACTCCATTTTCTTCTTTTATAATTGAAAGTCACTTCTTTAAGCAAATAAGTAAAGTGCTCTAGGTAAGAAGACACAAGAGAACATTATTCAACACGCAAAGTGTTTTGGAAATCATAGCTTCTCTAATTAAGACAAACTTTTTCTTAAGACTGAATAGTATACAACGTACAATAAAATAAAATATGTGGTTTAACAATACATGCAACCTGTAATTCAGTTCTAACATGGTTTATTTAAAATCTCTAAAACTACAGATCTGGTTTCCTAAAGTTACTTATAAATACATGGTAATAGCTTGAAAGGTATTTCTGCCAGTATCTCTGCAAAGTCCTCACTACTCTCCCAAGGTTTGAGAATATCTAATATCTATAAATGAAAGCTCCCTCAGTGCATAACTGCTAATGGGCATAAAAAACACCAGTTTACACTGAGAATTTTTATTTGTCAGTATGTAAAACCTGATTTTGCTTACACTTACATATTAAATTAAATGTAGGCGTAGTCCAAGATGTATCTCTTCTTTGAGCAAAAGAATTGCTCGTACCAACAGTAATTAATACCAACACCTAGTTTCTCACATTGCCATGTAATAACTCTCAAAAACCAAGGAATAATTTTAATATTAATAAACTTGAACACTGTATAAAATACCTTCTGCTGTAGTGTCCTATAAGTAAATTTTCACTGTAAAAATTCATTTTACTAATATACAAGCAGATACCCTTGCCTAATCAGATAGAAAATTTTAATATAGGTATCTACTCTATATTCACCCAATAAGTGACTTTCTTACTCAAAAGGCTTGACACCCAGTTGTCAATACCCTAGACAAAAAGAATATAACAAATCATAAGATACCCATTTATTAGATTAAAAAACTGAGGTCCAGAGAGATTTTTGCCCAAGATTAAAGAGTGAGTTAGTGGCAGAGTGGGAAATTAAAACTGAAATCATGGCACTCCATTTTATCCCTTGATAGCTTATTCATCTACATTTTAAAATAGACCACAGAAAATTGAGATACAGAGGCAATAAAGAATCTAGAAATCTGTCAGTCATTTATCATTGAAAGTTTACTCTTTTTTTAAAAAGTAGCCTAGTTTTTAAAGTTACAAGAATAACTACACTTTAATAAAGAATCAGAACGAAAAAAACAACAAGATTTTTAACTAAACATGCAGAAATCATCTAAAATCCAGTGAAAGAAAGTTATTTTTGAGCTTATATGTCTCAATAATTACAAACTGGGTTTAATTTAAACTTTCTGTGTGAAAATTTTCACTTTTGCCAAGAACTATAGTGTTTTTCATGATAAAAATCAGTTTCTTGGTGAGAAATAGAATTTGAAACATTGACATTTATGTTCTTATGTGAATAATAAGTAAAACATCTCTGTTTCCTATATGTTTACAAGCAGCACAAGAGTAGTTTATTATTATTAAATAAATAAAATATTAGCAAATTTAGAGTCAGATTATTCTAGAAATTGGAAAATGACCCACTTGCTGGATAAAATGGTTAGTACTTTCCAAATAAAAATTGATATTCCTCTCTTGCAAACTCAATTTCATGATCTAATGTTTGTAAGTTTCTATTAAGCCACTCTGTGAAGATTTTTCTAACATTAGCCTTCAGATAATACTTAAAGCAGACGTTCCCAGCCTTTTTGGCTTCGGGGACCAGTTTTGTGGAAGATAATTTTTCCACAGACAGAGGTGGGGGTATGGGATGGCTTCAGGATGAAACTATTTCATCTCAGATCATCAGGAATTAGATTCTCATAAGGAGTATGCAACCTAAAGATCCCTTGCATGGGCAGTTCACAGTAGGGTTTGTGCTCCTATGAGAATCTAGTGCCACCACTGATCTGAGAGGAGGCAGAGCTCTGGCAGTAATGCTCACTGGCCACCTCCCACTGAGAGGCCCAGTTCCTACCAGGCCATGGACTGGCACCAGCCTGGGGGTTGGGGAACCCTGCCTTAGAGTTTTAATTTTTCTATTAATTTGTAAATATGTCAAGCTTGGACTAGTAAAAATGGTTATATTAACGTAAAGCATCTAACAACTTAATCTGCACCTCTGGAAGATGGGTAGAGTGAGGGATGCCCTACCAATCCCTCACTCCCATTAACCAGAGAAGCTCTGCTTCCATTTGTTGTCTTCATAGGGACCCCAAATAAGATTTAATTTATTAAAAATGCTGTTCTGCTGACTTAAAGTAATTGAAAAGTTGTTCAAATTTCTTATAGAAAAGACTAAGTCAGAAGTAATTTGAAACAAAACACTGATATTTTGATAATTCTCTTATCTAATGCATATTTGTTAAACATCTACCATATGTCAAGTACTGTTGGAAACATTAAGAATATCGTGATAAAATTCTTGTCCTCATGAAACTTTCAATTGAATAAATAGACACTGCTATATAAATGGCAAAGTACATAATACAATGGAACGTAATAAATGCTATAAAAAATGACAAAAAGTGGCGATTCCTCAGGGATCTAGAACTAGAAATACCATTTGACCCAGCCATCCCATTACTGGGTATATACCCAGAGGACTATAAATCATGCTGCTATAAAGACACATGCACACGTATGTTTATTGCAGCATTATTCACAATAGCAAAGACTTGGAACCAATCCAAATGTCCAACAATGATAGACTGGATTAAGAAAATGTGGCACATATACACCATGGAATACTATGCAGCCATAAAAAAGGATGAGTTCATGTCCTTTGTAGGGACATGGATGAAATTGGAAATCATCATTCTCAGTAAACTATCACAAGAACAAAAAACCAAACACCTCATATTCTCACTCATAGGTGGGAATTGAACAATGAGAACACATGGACACAGGAAGGGGAACATCACACTCTGGGGACTGTTGTGGGGTTGGGGGAGGGGGGAGGGATAGCATTGGGAGATATACCTAATGCTAGATGACGAGTTAGTGGGTGCAGCGCACCAGCATGGCATATGTATACATGTGTAACTAACCTGCACATTGTGCACATGTACCCTAAAACTTAAAGTATGATAATAATAAATAAATAAATTAATTAATTAATTTAAAAAATGCCAAAAAGGTTCTAATGGGCAGTTACTTTTGATAATGTCATCAGGGGATGTTTCTATGCCTCTCTTTGTCTCTCTCTCTCTCTCTCAGAAAGTAGCACTTGAACATATTTCCAAAATACATTTCTAGTGAAAAGCATTTCAGACCAAGGGAATGACAATGTAAAGTTTCTGAGGGAAATAAAAGTGATGCATTCAAATAAGCATAAAAAGATTGTATCAATAGGGAGGGGTGAGCACAAGGAGAATGGTGGGTTGGGTCAGCAAGGTAACAGGGATTAGATGGTGGAGGGCCTCATAGGCTGATGTGAGGACTTGTTTTAAATTTGATAGGAAGAAATAGAGGAAGATACTCATGTAGCGTGACTTGTGTTTTTAAAGGTTTACTCTTGGTTGTTGTTTGACAATAGAATGGACAATAGGAAAAGTTGCAAAAGTTCAAGTAAGAAGAGTAATTTAGAAGCTGTTGCAATAGTCCAGGAGGAAAAAGGTGATGGCTTGGTGACTTGGAATAGCAGCGAAAATGTGGAGAATTAGTAAAACATGAGATTATTTTTAAGGCAAAAACCTGTAGGATTTGCTGATAGATTACATAAAAGGTATACAGGAAATATGAATCAAGGATGACTCTGATTCTGTTTTACAAGAGCAGCCTGATGCATGGGTTTGCCGTTTACGAAAATGAAAAAGGTAGAAGAGTAGGCTTGACGGGTGAAAGAAGAGTTCTGTGTTTGAAATGTTTGCATTTGAATTTCACATTGGAAATTTCAAATAAGAAATTAGAGTCCACAGAGGTCGGACGTGAAGATATAAATGCATCAGCATACAGGTGGCTTCAAAGCCACAGTACTGAATAAGATCAATAGAGAGAGATACACTAGAGAAAAGAAGAGACCAAGGAGTCCATTCTTGGAATATCAAATATATAAACATTGGGAAAATAAGAAGTACACAGGAAAGGAGTCTGAGAAGGAATAGCCAGTGAGGTAAGAAGAAACTGGTGTACCATTCCAAGAGCCAAGAGAATAAAGTTTTTTTGTTTTTTGTTTGTTTGTTTGTTTGTTTTGAGATGGAGTCTCGCTCTGCTGCCAGGCTAGAGTGTAGCAGCGCAATCTCGGCTCACTGCAACCTCTGCCTCCCAGGTTCAAGCGATTCTCCCACCTCAGCCTCCCAAGTAGCTGGGAGTACAGGCATGCACCATCATGCCCAGCTAATTTTTGTATTTTTAGTAGAGATGGGGTTTCCCCATGTTGGCCAGGATGGTCTCGATTTCTTGACCTCATGATCCACCCGCCTCAGCCTCCCAAAGTGCTGAGATTACAGGTGTGAGCCATCGCACCTGGCCGAGAATAAAGTCTTGAAAGAGTGAGTGAACAACTCTCCTATAGGCTATAGAGGGGCCAAGTAAAATAGGGCTCTTAGCTGACCATTACACAGCAAACTTAGAGCCCAGGCAAAACTCAAGGCCTGATTAAAGAGAGCTCAAAGGATAATGGGAGGTAAAGAATGGACACTGTAGAGAAAACATTCTGAAGAATATGCTATTAACAGTAACAGAGAAACCATAGCTAAAGGGGCAATCAAGATCAGGAAATGTTTCTTATTTGCTTAAAACAGGGTATATTGAAGCCTGTTTGTTTAAAGATAATTTAGTTGGAAGAGTGGGGACCTGATGATGTGAGAAAGAGTGGATAATTTTTAGAGCAAAGTTTTAAAAGCATCCAGAGGACATAGGGTCAAGACCATTTTGGAGGAATTGGCCTCTATAAGTGTACAGAAAATTCATACATGGCATACCAGGAGGGAACACAAGATATATGAGTACAGATGCAGCTAGATAAGAGAAGGAATTTACTTTTGATTGCTTTTGTAAAACAAAAAAAAAATGAAATAAATATCCAGGTCATTGGCTAAGATTGAGGAAGGGAAGAGTATACTAGAGGTTTGAAGGGAGGGAAAAAGATGTGAGATTGTTTTCTTGGAGAATAGTAAAGCTAAATAATTACAGAAATGTAGAATGATTAAGGGCTCACTTTACTATGTAGTCATAAATTTAAAGTAAATACCATGATCAAGTCATCAAGTCAATGCAGGCATAGAATAAGCATAGAGTAGGATTTAACAAGGGTAGATGTTTTCAGGTGAGAGTGATAGGCACAAAAGAGTTGAAGATGAAAGCAAAGGAATGATACAATGATATATTATATCATCTAACCTGGATGAAATGAAATGGAGGATATGAGATGAGTCATGATCCTGAAAATATGTAGGATTAGTAGGTTGGGAATTCTAGGGAGAAGGAGGGTGACAAGTTGTTGGAGCAGAAAAACTGGAAGAACAAGGCTACAAAGATAGGAGACTGCAAGCAGAGTAGGATGTTTGAAATGAAGATGTTTCAAGGTGATACAGTTATTGGAAATGACAGGGTCCAGGATATGACTGTGAACTGAATGGGGGGCAATGAAGATCCATAGAACTGAGAAGATTAAGGCCTCTCAAGGGTGTTGGAGGGGTCATCAATGTGAATACTGAAGCCACCAATAAGGATGATAGAGGAGTGATGGAAAGTCAGTGTTTCAGGTTCATCAGTAACCTCATTGGAGAAGGAGGGAGAAGGTTGGGAAGACGTTGGTCAAAGGATACAAAATTTCAGTTAGGAGCAACAACTTCAAGAGATCTATTGTACAACATGGAGACTATAGGTAAGAACAACATATTGTATTTGCTAAGAATGTATATTTTAAGTATCCTCACCACAAAAAAATAATAACTATGTTAGGTAATGCATATGTCAATTAGCTTGATTAGACTTAGACATTCCACAATGTATACATATTTCCAAGCATCATGTTGTAAGCAATACATATGTAAAATTTTTTAATTTAAAAGACATTTAAGAAAACACCATTTGGTGAAATATGATTCCTGGGAGGTAACAGTAGATTAATTCAACCAAGATGAGGAAGCAGGAGGCATACGTCACCTACATCCAGTCAGGTAGCCAGAGATTTTAGGAAGGTGGCAAAGATAAATAGCAACCTGGAATTCGCTCTCAACAATATGACACCTATACCACTTGTAGGCTTGTATGCTGCAAGATGTAAAGGGAAAATTGCCCACACTTGAGAGAGTGACAGGGGAAAAAGTGTCTTCAACATATAGCCAAGTTTCAGGAAGAGTTAAAAAGTAAACAAAACATTTATAGAAGTTAAGGGCATAGGGGGATTTGCATAGGGGAGTTTCAATGGGCAGAATGGGAGAGTCTGGAACAGAAGACGTGAACTTGAATCAGATTAAGGAATGTGCACATATATATGTGAAAAAGACTCAAGGTGATAAGGGATGCCCTGGGATGTTTGAGATTATGATGATAATGAATTAATCATCTCTCTGGGGAAGGCTAATTAATATAATTATGGTGTTCTTCCTTGTACTGATCTCTTAGGCAGTTTGTTATGGTGTTGGGAGGTAAAAGGTGTGCAATTCATGGCAGAAATACTTGCTGCCCTAAGGATCTCCTTTAAATCCTGTTGTAAGTGGCATTTCCAGAATCTACTGTTAATTGGACTATTAATCAAATTTCTCTGTGTTTAGAATTTGAGAGCTCAGAAAGTATTGTCTTGCACCATTTATTAGACTCTGGTGACTTAACAAACTTAAATTAAGCATGATAAAGTAAGCCTGATAATGGTTCATTTTAAGGTCTCCAAGTCAATGGAATTAATTGTCCAAACCATATTTCTTAAACTTGTCAACCTCAATGCACATAATGGGTAATATATACCTATGTTTGTATGAGCCAGGTGTACACGTTTACAGTTACTAGCTCTAATTCCAATCCATTCATTGTCTCCCAGTGAAGGATTGCAGAAAGAAAATGCATGAGAGTTGGATTGATATATTAACCATGAGTCCACTATATTTTTGAAAGAAATAAGACTTATTAATAGCAAGATTTAATATTTTCATGAAATTCATAGTAATATCTTTATGATACTTGTAACATACTTCACATCTCAGCTCAACATTCTAAGATTTATTCTCTAGGCTCTGTACAAAAAAAATGTCAACTATAACACAGCATTATACCGATCAGAATAAATCAACCACCATCCAAGAATAAGGATCAGCGTATTTTCTTTTTTGTGATCATTTATTTGTAGTTTTCTTCATCTCATATCTTCAGTGACTGATATGTTTGACAACAGATATACAAAATCTGACACTGTGGGAACAGATCTTCAATTTTACCATTTGTTAGGTTTAAAAATGTGACAGATTCTGAAACGTGTTATGTGTTCTCTGAGATTCACTGTTTGTTTATGCACTCCCCTCACTGCCCTTGCCTCCCACACCCTGCATTTCTCAAGGATAGCTCTACTACACAGAGGACCACTTTTCTTGGGCCCAAGCTCTGAAACAGGGACTGCAGTGGCCTACGCATGAGGCTTGGACTTAGTAATTTGAAAACCAGCATTCTATCAATAATATGCATTATTATTAGATACATAAATCTGAGATTTAAGTCCAGTCACCTGATTCAAATGTCTATATGATTAGCAGTTATTCTCTATCTTCCATCTTAGTTTGAAGCATTATTAGAGGTTGCAGAGGAAAATAAGTGTTAATTCTGACAAAAAATTCAGGTTTTCCTGACATTATTCACTTCGGGTGAGAATGTAAAATAACATGAAGCAACATGAGTCTTTGCGTAAATATGTCATATTGAATATAAATATACAATATATGAAACATTAGCATTCAATCAGTATATATAAATAAATTTGTATACAAATGTGTAGTGTATAATTTTTAAATGTATGTAATAAATTGATACATAGTATATATAGTATATGGTGTTTATTAATACAAATGTAAATTCCATTAATGTGATGAATCTGCACATATTTATAAGCAAATGGATGCCCTTAAAAGGAAAAAAATGTACTAGTTATTTTAAATGTGCCAGTTTAGTTTGATTCTCAAGCATGTACAAAAATGTAGAAAAATAAATCTTGAATAAGTGCCTTTCAGAGATTTGTAATTTTTATATTATTAAACTAAAGGGGTTACCAAGTAATGCAGGGCTCAGCAAACTGTAGTCCATGGGTCAATTCTGGCCAACCATCTGTTTTAGTAAACAAGATGTTATTGGAACACAACCACATCAATTCATGTATATTTTGTCTATGGCTGCTGGCAGAGTGGCATAATTGTAACTGAGATTGTATAGTTTACACAGCTGAAAATGTTTTCTCTCTGGCCTTTTACAGAGAAAAGTTTGCTGATCATTGTGATATTGATTATGGAGGCGTCTTTACATTATGAAAATTTTTTTCTATCACATATTTTTTCACTATAAATCAGAAGGAGGGATGACACAGAGTAAAAGATATTTAAGGAAGTAGATCAATAATTTCTTCTGAAATTATCAAAGTAATTCGGACAAAATGGAATTGTGACTGAAAGAGCTGAGTAATTCATGTGGTTGCCATACTCTTTATTTTGGCCATGTCCTCACTGGCATTCTTTACTACAAATCTCAGCAAAATGATCCAAGCCTTACATAGGTGTATTAGTCAGCTTAGGTTTATGTGACAAAATACCATAGACCTGGTGGCTTAAACAGTAGAAATGTATTTTCTTATAGTTCTAGAGGGTAAAAGTGTGAGATCAGGGTGCCAGCATGATCAAGTTCTGGTGATGACTCTGTTCCTGGCTGATAGATGGCCATCCTCTTGCTTTGTCCTCACATGGCAGAGACACAGAGAGAGAGAGATCTCTCTTCCTCTTAGAAACGCAATAGTTCTATCACATTAGGATTCCATGTTAATGACCTAATTTGGCCTTAATAAAGCCTCCTAATTACCACTCAGTTACCCTCTATTTCAATACAGTTACATTAGGCTTTAGCGCTTCAACATATAAAATTTGGGGAGACACAATTCAATCCATAGCAATAGGTATAAGAAATTATGCCCAAATTTCTGCTACAGACATGGAATGTTGGTTTTGTCCACTAGAGAAGTTTGGCTCATCAAGTTTCATACCATTTACCAGCTACCTCTATTAATACTAATAAAAATTGACACGGTATATCTCAATGTATTTAAGAAGCTAAATGATCCTAAACATCATCAACCTACCAATTATTTTATGGCTTCGTGAATATTTTTCAGTCTGTAAAATAAAAAGAATAGCTAAACAATTTAAAAGCTTAAAAACATCCTATTCTATGCTGCTGAAGACACATTCTAGGTCATTTGTGAATTATTTACCATACGAAGACAGAACCCATAAGGAAAAAAAATAAAGCCAATAAAGAATAAATCTAAGTTACAAACCATTAAAATTCCTCCAACTAAAAAATGGCATTTGGGACTCACTCTTTCTTTCAAAATCACCCTTTAAAAAGCTTCAGCGATGCCCTGAAGGCTTCATTTACGACTACCATATTGGATTTGCTCCGCTTGTGTATTGCAACCTCTCTTACAGGCTAAGGTTTGTTTCACACTTCAGTCTACTTTACATTTCAAAGTATATGAGCAGCAGCATCAAAATTCTCAAAAACAGTAATGAAAGACTTTAAGACTAAAAGGTGGGCCAGGAGTACATTTTTCATTTAAAACGTCTCAAAATGTTTCATTCCAAATCCTAAACCCCTCCAGTGTCATGAGGGATAAAGTCATAAGTTTAAGATTTTTAAAAATAGCCAATTTTATAAAAAATTATTTATTATTAAAATGATTATATCACTTTCATATTGGCTGGAAATTTCTTTCTAAGGTTCTTTTTTCTTGTAATAATCTCTCAATAATCATCCAAGTTGAATTTTATACGACGTGCTGAGGACTCGCCTTTTATATTAGACAAGCAAGTGAACAAAATAAATACATCTCACTCAGGTTACAATAGTACCTCTGCTTCTTACCCCACAAAATTACAAGCAGATATCCCATAGTTTACAGCAAAGATTTTTATTATGCTTCATTATCTGATAAGATCATAAGACTTCAATGCAAAATGTAAAGGAGTGATGTCCTGATTATAATAACCACTTAGAGTTCCTAATCCTTAGAAATGATAATCAATCAATAAGTAATCATGGAGTGTCTTTACAATGGTAAGGTCTGAAAAGTTCTGGATAAAGAACACTGTTACAATAACACTGGGAAGAAAAGAAAAAAATGTATTTTGACTATTTCTCTCTTACATAGTATTTTGCTTTAATTGACTTTTAGATGGTTAACCCTAATTTACATAACTATCCCTCAGTCTCAGTTACTTGAAATGAAGCTATTTTGAAAAACCTTCTGATCTCAATACAAGCTATTTTAGCTCTAAGGTTTATGAGAATGGTCACCTTTTTTTTTAAATTGGCTGATTGGCAGTGCTGCTGTCAGCAGTAATCCCCAGCTAGACTTTAATGAAATGTTCCTCCCTTTCTCTGGGGCTTTGGATTGCTATTTGGCTATAATTAACTCCAGATTGACCAACAGCCAGTGAAGGAAGCAACTCACTCCATGAAGAGGATTATTACAATCATTATTTTAGTCTAAATACAGCTGTTCTGGTTAGAAAATACAGAAAATACAAATTACGTATCTTGCTATATTGATTTCAAATAACCAAGAGAGACAAAAGGAAGTATAAAAAGATTGGTCCTTTGTACTATAGCTACACAAGCAAGTAAACCACATGGGAAAACAAAACAAAGCTCATAGTTTTTCAAGCTTGTCACAGTCTCCTAAACTGCAGTTGAAAGTAGCTAACATCAAGCCTTCATTTGAATCTTATTATAACACAGCAAATCCTGTTGATTCTCCTTTTAAAATATATCCAGAATCTGCCCCCTTCTTACCACCTCCACTACTACCACTCTGGTCCCATATACCATTATTTCTTAGATTAATGCAGTAGCTCCTCTCTGCTTTGATCTTTGCTCCCATCCCCCAATAGTCTGTTCTACATGAGGCAGCCAATGTGATTCTTTAAAAATGTAAGTCACACCAGACCTTGCCTGCTATGTACTGAATTGTATCCCCCAAAATGCACATGCTGAAGACCTAACACCTAATAAGATAGTATTTGGAGATGGGACCTTGGGAGGTAATTAGGTTTATATAAGGTCATGAGGGTGGGGCCCCCATGATGGGATTAGGGCTTTATAACAAGATACACCTGAGAACTTGCTCATTCTTTGTCATGCGAGAACACTGCAAGGAGGCTGCCATCTGCAAGCCAGGAAAAGAGCCCTCACCAGAGCCTGACCCCACCAGCGCTCTAGTCTAGCCTCCAGAACCATGAGAAAATATACTTCTGTTGTTTAGTCACCCGGTCTATGGTATTTTGTTATGGCAGCCCAAGGTGACTAGGACAATACCTCTGCTCAAAGTGAAAGAGCAAATCTTTCAATGGCCAGACAACAGATCCTTCACCATCTGGCACAGTTACTTCAAAGATTTCATTTCACCCTCATTTCACTCTCACTCACTTTGATCCAGGGACACTGATCTCCTTGGTATTACTCCACAAGTCAGATCTCCTCCTCCTTAGGGTTTCTGTACTCTTTCAGATTTTGACTCAACTGTCACCACTTCAGCAATGCATTATCTGATCACCCACCTGTTTAAAACTGCAATCCCTCTCCACCCAGCAACATTTCTGACACTTTCTTCTCTGCTCTATTTTCTTTATAGCAGTTATCACTTCCTAAATATAACTACATAAATATTTTTTCTGCCTCTCTCCCGTATTAAAAGTCCAATGAGGACAGGGATTGCTGATTTTTGTTAACTGATGATTTTCTATTACCTAGTAGAACTGTGTCTAGTACATAAGGATATTCAATAGATGTTTGTCAAATCTACAGTAAATGTTCTCTTTTAAAAAAACAACAAGGAGGAGAAGAGCTGATAGGCAACTAGATACTTATTTCATTTTCCAATTGCAAAAACATCCCAGGTACAAAACATAACTTCTTTAATAGCCTCACCATAGGATAGCTATGATAATAATCCAAAAGCTCATTATTTCTTCCAGGTACTAACTCACCCATTTTTCACCAACAATTTCCTTTACGGGGATCCTTAATGAGAAAATAGCTGCAACTATAGTTAAGTCATCCTTCATCTCTTCCATTTTTATTTACAGAGAAGAGTTTTCTTGGTAGTTTATAAGGTACAGCACCATTATTTCTTTGAAATCATATTTATTTTATTTACACAGCAGCTGAAGCTTTGCCTTCTCTTTCTCTCCTGTGTTGTGAAAATGATTACAACAGGAAGAAGTTAGGTATTATTCATTTAACAAGAATTTATTGAGTGCCACTTTGGGCCAGGCACACATCTCAGTAGAGGGAATAGAGCAGTGAACCAACAGGCAAAAACACTTGTTTTCATAGAACTTACATTTGGGTAAAGAAATAAGGGAGATGTGGGAAACAAATAATAAAGAAAATAAATAATACATAAACAAAACACAAGTTAAGTAAGATAATTAAAAAATACCATGGAGAAAAGTAAATCAGGGAAGAGATTTGGGAAATGATCTGCAAGACTGAAATATAACAGAGGGATCAGAGAAGACCTCACTGAAGCAGAGTGATATTTCAGCCATGCATCTATTTGAATGAAAAATGTTTTAGGCTGAGGGAAGAACAAGAACAAAGGCCTTGGGTTGGAATGGGTTTGGCCTGTTGGAGAAACAGCGAGGAATGCAGTGCAGCTGAAACAGAGAGGAGTAGGAGGGAAATAAATGAGATTAGAGGGTCCGGGGGGGTAAAGGGTAGGGGCAAGCATGCAGGGTCTTGCAAGCCAAGGAAAGAATCATTTACTGTATTAGTCTGTTTTCACACTGCTGATAAAGACGTACCTGAGACTGAGTAATTTATAAAGAAAAAGAGGTTTAATGAACTCACAGTTCCACATGGCTGGGGAGGCCTCACAATCATGGCAGAAGGCAAAAGGCACATCTTACATGGCTGCAGGCAAGAGAGAATGAGAACCAAGCGAAAGGGTGTTCCCCTTATAAAACCATCAAATCTCGTGAGACTTATTCACTACCAGGAGAACAGTCTGAGGGAAACCACCCCCATGATTCAATCATCTCCCACTGGGTCCCTTGCACAACATGTGGAAATTATGGGAGCCACAATTCAAGATGAGATTTGGGTGGGAACACAGTCAAACCATATCAGAATCTTAGACTTTATGAGTAATGGGAAGCCATTGAAATGTTTGAACAGCAGAATCACCAGGTAAATTCAACATCCCTCACAAAAACTCTGTAAATTAACTCTTTAACTTCAAATTTTATTTAGGTTGAACTCTTGACCCCAAGCAAAAGAGTATGGTGGTTGGAATGCGAATACTAGCAATGGAAAGCAAAAGAGTATGGTGGTTGGAATGCGAATACTAGCAATGGAAAGCAAAAGAGTACGGTGGTTGGAATGAGAGTACTAGCAATGGAAATAGTGAAAAGTGATCAGATTCTGGATACATTTAGAGTGTGGAGCCAAAAGGATTTGCTGATAGGTCAGATGTGTCATATTACAGAAAAAGTATCTAAGGCCAAGATTTTATATCCAAATGATGGTGGTTTAAGATCTGGGGCTCAAATTTAAACATGCCAATTTAATATACTCATTAGGCATCCAAGCACAGATATCAGTAAAACATAAAAGCCTGGAGTTAAGGAGAAAGAACCAGGCTGGAGATGAAAATTTAGGAATCATAAGTATCAGCATATGGTGTTTAAAGCCATAAGACTGAATGAGGTAACCAAGGGAGGCCACTACCAATGTAAATAGCAAAGAGAAGAGATTCCAACCTGAGTTCTGGGGCATTCATGGTTTAAGCAGCTAGAAAGGCAAAAGAGCAGGGAAAGAAGACTTAGAAAGAGTGGCCAATGGGTAGGAAAAACAAAACAGAAAAAAAGTGTTGCCCTGAAAGACAAATGAAAAACTGTGTTTCAAGGAGTTGGAGAGAACAATTGTGTCAGATGCCGCTGATAGCTCAAGATAAAGGCTGAGAATGGAGCATTGGATTTAGCAGTGTGGAGGCATTATCGAATTTGAGAAGTTTTAGTATAGTGTTGAGGGGAAGTCTGATGTAAAATGCATTCAAAAGACAAGAGAGAAATTCAAGTCAGTGCAGATGGACAATCCTTTCAAGCAGTCTAACTGTAAAAGGAAGGAGAAAAAATGGGTCAGTAGCTGGAGTGAATGTGCATGTGTGTGGTTGAGAGAAATAGCACCATATTTTTAATGCTGATAGGGAAAAATTCAATAAAGAGAAAAAATTGAAGATTCAGGAAAAAAGGAAAAATTCCTGAAGCAATGTCCTTGAGCAGATGAGAAAGGATGGGATGAGGTGCACAAAAGGAGGAAGTATCTATTACTAGAGCAATGCCAGTTGACCCATAGTAATAGGGGAAACAGCGGAGTATAAGGAAAAAGGCTAATGCAATGACTAAATATGAAAACGTTTAAAATGGTTATTTCCTAACTTAATTGCAAAGCTGTAATGGCCAAAACACTGTTGGATTATGTAAAACAATGCCTTGGAGGCCTCTTTAAAATACACCCTGATTAGGTTACAATCCTGTTAGAATTAGTGAATATATGCTTAGGAGTAAACCCAAAGTTGTGAAGGTCTGAAACTTAAAACTAGAGAAAGGCGAAGGAGGGCAGTAAACAAATTAAAAATGTAACAATATTGTCAAGCTAGCAAAATAATAAAAAACCTTCTCTTCAACTAGATTTTAAGCTTCTAGGAGAAGAGGCCACTTACTATCATTGCTGAGCACAATGTACACGTAGTTACTACTCAATAAACGCTGGTTCCATTAATTCACTTGTATGTTGGTTTGTATTGCATTAAATAGTTTAGAGAAGTAATAATCTCATGCATTATTCTCACTCAGATGCATTGTTTTCATTGATTTCTTTCATCCTTACTATTGTGCTTATCTCTCTTTTTTGCATTAGTGGTTGAACATCATAAACATTAAGTATCCTATATATTTTTTGTTTTTTATTATAATCTTGAATGTATACAGCATGTAATAGCTACAAAATAGCTTAACAAGAACAGTTAAATGGCCATATTATAGAGTAATTAATGAAGGGATAAAAGGCCTTGTTAAATTGTGTTAAAATAACTATTAAATATTGAAATAACTGTGGCCATTTGAATACAATCTGGTGGTGTTTTAGCACAAGTGGTTGTCAGAGTGGGGGGTTAGAAACATATAAAAATATTTCCAATTGAAGAAAATGATAACTGATATTTTGGTTTATGAGAAAATAAACTTATGAAGGGTTTTTCAGAATTAAATTACCTACATAAAATAGGAAGACAACATTTATTTGATTTTAAAGATGGCGGAAAAGGTTAGCCCCTTGAAGAAACTTATTTCTCTATGGTACTTGCTAACTTAGAAGGCAAACTACCACCTTAGCTAAGTCTCCAGAAAAGCACTAATAATGCTAACCCACAGAGAGATCCTTAGGTTAGTTTCCACCAAGAAACCATACAATAGCTGAGTATAAGATCAAATAATTTGAAGAGCTCTTGTTGAAGGAAACATTTTGAGAGTGAATTCACATTATATAAAATTAGACCAAACTACCAAACTATATATAAAGAACCCTCAGAGATTGTATTTTAAAAGGCTGTATTACTTTAGGCCAGTAACAAAACACATACATAGTAACTCAATATTTACCTAATCAAAGGCAAGGCAAGAAAAGTCATACTTTAAAAAACATAAGAAAAGGTTCAAACTATGAGCTGTTTGATTAAGATCAAGATAGTATTACATAAGTGTCACCTCAAATTAAAAACAGCAAATATATTCACTAAAGACAAAAACACATAACCACAGAGGATAAAATGTCCAGAATCATTATAAATATTCTATAGAAATTTAATAATACAAATATGTGATGAAAAGCTTTAGTATTTGCAAGTAGTAAATTATCATCATCATCACAATCATCATCACCACAATAAAAAATATATATGTTTATTGTATCTTAAGCAAAAATGAATCATTTAAGCTGGGGTCTTATTTGTGAACTTCAATAGGGCAATTTATCCCATAATTTAACTATTCTATTATAGAAAAATGTTGACTCCATCAGCATGATACATAGATCCTAGGGTATTCATGGACTTTCCTACTATACAATTCTCAAAATGGCCTCTTCTCTCCTTTCTTCTCCAATTAAATTCATGTATTTTTTGGTCTGGCATGAAGTAAAAATAAGACTTCTCTTTATGTGCATTTTATTCCTACAGCATTGTACAATGATCCCTCTTTCAACATAGTGCTAAATATTTACTCTACAAAATGTTGGTGCTTGATTATATTCCATATTGTGCGAGTCTCTAATTCATTCATTTCTGTAAATATTGCATTCTCTCCTCGACAAAACCACAATCTCCTTGAGGGCAGAAATTCTAGTTACAAAACACCTGGGCTCCCTCTACAATCATAGCACTGTTCCAGATAGGTAATGAATTCTTCATAAAAGCATGGTGTCTTGAAAAAAAGCAATCAAACTCCTTTTTGAAACATTGATTTACAAATTACAGAGTAGTAGTAAAAGGAAACTGAACACTGTCATTAATTGAAGTCTAAATAGGGTGAATAACAAAATATTACAGTATAAGCCTGAGTCATTTTATCTGATGCCTAATTAACTATAGTGCACCTAAATTAAAACACATTTGCAATACTCACATGTCTTCAGGTTAATAAAATTATGAGTTATAACATGTGCACTTTTTTAAGTTTTCAAATTTTCTACAAAGACCATCAGTAAAATCAGTAAAAAATTAACAAAAATAGCTGTTATATCATTCCTCTGACAATCAAATCATCGAGTTTATAAGGCAAGCTATATTTTGATCTCTGAATTATTTAAATTTCTGGAATCCATTTCAGCCGAATCCCAAGATTTTGGAGCCAGACAGCCTGGGTTTGAATTCCAAATCTATGTTTTCTGCTGTGTGGTCAAAACATATTACTTAGTCACTGAGTGCCTAAATTTCCTCATCTGGAAAATGAAAAAAAAAAAAAAAACAGAAATTACCAGAAAAAGCTGCAATAAAGATCAAATGGGGGGCCGGGCATGGTGGCTCATGTCTGTAATCCCAGCACTTTGGGAGGCCAAGGCAGGTGGATCACCTGAGGTCAGGAGTTTGACACCAGTCTGACCAACATAGTGAAACCCTGTCTGTACTAAAAACACAAAAATTTGCTGGGTGTGGTGGCACATGCCTATAGTCCCAGCTACTGGGTAGGCTGAGGCAGGAGAATCAGCTGAACCCGGAAGGCGGAGGTTGCAGTCAGCCGAGATCACACCACTGCACTCTAGCCTGGGTGACAAAGCCAGACTCCGTCTCAAAAAAAAAAAAAAAAAAAAAAAATTAAATGGGTTGGAATGGTCAAAGCCCTTAAAAGTGGCTCACATGTAGTAAACACAAATAGTTGTCATTGTTATCGATATGCTTTTGGGATATAAAAAAAGATAACAATTCTTTATATGTCTACAACTTTCTTTTAAAGTAACACCCCATGCCTCTGACAGTTCTTATGAAAATAGGGCGCATAGATATAGAAAGGATTGGTGTATTGTATTAAGTAGGTGCTACACCTCTTACTACAATTTAATACCAAGAAATAGAAAATCTCTGCAAACCTTAGTTTTAATTACCTCATTTAGAGATTTAAAAACAAATTTTCACACAGCGTGCACTGGTTACTTATGTTGGCTTATCAATGATACAGGAGTGTCTTTATGTAACAAAGAGAATAAATTATTGTCCTAACAGCAAGAATCAGAATTCCTCTTAGGGAACTATCCCGATAAACTACTGGAGGTGGAAACTCAAATCCTTAGAGATGAACTAGCATGAGATGAGGCTGCAGGGGAGAAATTTAAACTAATTCCACATCAGAAATAAAAAAGAATTCAGGGAGAAAGAAGGTATTGTAGAGTTTATGACAGAACAGCAAAATGACTTTTAAGAGAAGAAGGATCCAGTACTAAGTTTTAAGATTTTTTTTGTACTTTCTTGTTTGTCTGTTTTGCAATGTAACACCCTGAAATTCACACATACAAACATTCCTTCCAAAGCTTCAGTAAAGTCAGGTCAGGCCAACTGGTAGAGAGTCTTCCTGTTTATTTATTTATTTCAATTTTTGGTTTTCTAATGCAAACCAATGAAAGAGGCAAATTCCACACCTCCCTGGACATGATTTGGGACAGGGATAATTTGTGAGGTAAGAATGCCATCACTTCAGCAGAAACAGCTCTTCTCCAGAGATGGGTATTGTTAGTATTGTTATACTACAGGCCTGTCTCCCTCTCCCTCCATTCCCAGAATCCTCCCCACTGAACATTTTTAGAAATGCCAACATGTGATCTTCACTCACTGCTTCTAGTCACTGTCCCCCCCTCCCCAACCCCATGCCCATTTGCTTTTAAGCACACCTGTCAAGTCTGTATTCTAGAACTGCTTTTGTCAAGGTCACCGGTGACCTTCATATTGCTAGCATCAATTAATGGTTAATTCTGAGACCTCATCTAACTTGATTTACCACAAATATTACTTACTTTTTGAAATGCTTTCCCCACTTGATGTCTCAGACACCACAAACACCTGGTTCCCTTAATATCAACTACATGCTCCCGCTCAGTAGTCGTTTCTGACTCCTAGGAGTCTTTAACCTCTGAGCATGGGACCAGTCCCCCTTGCTCCTGTTTTGTTTCTATCTGCCTTCACTGCTGTGGTAGTCCCATTCAGCCTCACAACTTTACACATCATAATATTCTGGCAAATGTACCTCTCTAGTCAGATTACTCACCCAAATTCCATATTTATAAATTCAACTGTCTACCTGGATTTCTTACAGACATAAAAGTGCCACCTAAATGTTAAATAGACATGTCAGTCTCAAAAATTATCACCTTCCACAATCCTTCTGTCTCACTAAATGGCAATTCCACCCTCCTGGTTCTCAGGCCAAAAGTCTTGGAATTGCCCTAGATGCCTCTCTTTCTCTTACAATCACATATTTCGTTCACTATTAAAAACTTTCGGCCGGGCGCGGTGGCTCACGCCTGTAATCCCAGCACTTTGGGAGGCCGAGGCGGGCGGATCACGAGGTCAGGAGATCGAGACCATCCCGGCTAAAACGGTGAAACCCCGTCTCTACTAAAAATACAAAAAAATTAGCCAGGCGTAGTGGCGGGCGCCTGTAGTCCCAGCTACTTGGGAGGCTGAGGCAGGAGAATGGCGTGAACCCGGGAGGCGGAGCTTGCAGTGAGCCGAGATCCCGCCACTGCACTCCAGCCTGGGCGACAGAGCGAGACTCCGTCTCAAAAAAAAAAAAAAAAAACTTTCGTATCTACTTTCAATATATATCCAGAATGCTACCACTTCTGACCTCTAACTGTTAACATCCTCATCCAAGCATCCATCATATTTTGTCTGAATTTTGCCATAGCCTCTTATCTGGTTGTCACACCTCTGTCATGTCCTCTTACATCAGGTTCTTTCAACCTTGGTTGTATTGATAGTTTGGGCTAAATAACTCTTTGTTGTGAAGAGCTATTCTGTGCATTGTAGGATGGTTAGCAGTATCAGCTGAGCCTCTACCAACTGCTAGCAGCACACAGTGTACTCACCCCCCAAGTTGTAACAAACAAAAATGTCTCCAGATATTACCAAATGCACCTGAGGGACAAAGTTGTCCCCCAATTGGGAATCATTGCCCTACAGTGTATTCTCAGTTTAGCCACAGAATGACCCTTTACAACATTAATCAGATTCTACAATGCCTCTGCTTAAAATGGACCCATAGATTTCCATCTCACAAAACAAGAAAGGAAGGAAGGAAGGAAGGAAGAAAGAAAGAAGAGAGAGAGAGAGAAAGAGAGAGAGAGAAGGAGGGAGGGAGGGAGAGAGGGAGGGAATAAGGAAGGAAGGAAGGAAGGAAGGAAGGAAGGAAGGAAGGAAGGAAGGAAGCAAGGAAGGAAGGAAGGAAGGAAGGAAGGAAGCAAGGAAGGAAGGAAGGAAGGAAGGAAGGAAGGAAGCTGCAGCCTGCTGGCGGTCCATGATCTGTCATCCACCCATTCCTCCTTGACCGTGTCATCTACTTCTCACCCCTTTACTCACTCTGCTCCTGTCACACTTGCCTCTTTGTTGTTCCTCAAAAACACCAGGAAAACTTTCACCTCAATGTCTAGGCACTTTGTTCCCTCTGCCTGTAGTTTTTGCCCCATGATATCTGCTGAGTTTAGTCCTTCACTTAAAAGCCATCTTCCTAATGAAGCCTTCCATGATTGCCCATTTTAAAAACTCAGCCCCTATCCCATGCCCCATCTGTCCCCCACACTTCCTATCCATCTGTTCTAGCTTTATTTTTAATGGCATGTATCTCCAATCTGATATGCTACAAATGTTACTAATTGCTTTAATGTCTGTCTTCACCTAAAAGAATGTAAGCCCCAGAAGAGAGGAGATTTTTGCCTTGTTCATTCACTGGTATATCTGCTTCTCATAGAAAAATGTCCACGGTAGGCACTCAGTAAATGCTTATAGATCAAATTAGGGCATGTAGAAAGGGTAGAATATGTCTGGAAAACCATCTTAGATATGAAGGGTCAAGGCAGCCTCAGCTGATATCTAGGATACATCCATATGCATCACCAGCAAATACTAAGCTGGTTTCTATAGAATTTATTTAAAATACGATTCATAATGTATAATGGAAAGTAGAGATTTGTCAAAATGCGTATGTGCTTAGGGGTTTTTATGTAAGGGGTATTTACAAAGCATATTTATAAATCCATTAACATATAGGTCTAAATATCTGTAGATATATAAAATAAGTAGAACTTTAAGAGAAATTTTACAAAGCACCATGGGCTGTGGTAACTCCCCTAGATATATAAAAAGAAGTATGCTGGGATAAGTCAAGTCATTCAATTATATACACCATAAGGTAGCTTAACAAGTAGCGGCAATGGTGAGCAAAGCTCTTTTCTACAGATGAAAGGCTGCGTGGTTCAATTGTGAGTGAAACAGAGGAACAGAAATGCTTCCTGCTGCAAGCTGACAGTTACATGGAACCCCCTGAAGTTATACATTGAGTTCCTCTGCTAATTACTGGTCTGAAGGGGACAAATAAAGATCCACATTTTATTTCTCTTGCTGTACTTGCAATATAAGCACTTGTGAATTTTACATTAGGGTCAAGCTGGGAAGTTCCCAGCCAGTTATACCTGGAGTAGATAACAGTGCCACCTTCCATGCAAATGAGGTCAAGTATTCCTTTCTGCCTTGGGTGACCACCAGGGAGATTTAAGTATAACAGATTCTAACAGGGAAGTTGAAATACAGGGAGAAAAGAGAAGGAAAACAGAACAAAACAAAACATTGATCCGGTTTAAAATAAAATTTTGCCTATGAATTCTAAAAGTACATATTTCAAAAAGATTTCAGAATTTTGTAATATCACTCATAAAAATTGTATGTCACACCCATTGATAACAATATCAACTATTCTGTCAACTTTCTGAACTAACTACTCATTGCAAGACCAATAAAGCTACACAGCAGGCAGGTACTTTAATGAAAGCGGCCTGGTTCTCCAGGGAGGAGACCCTGTGGTTCAAACACAAAAACTTTTGATCAAGTAAGCACTTTATTCTTGCCAATGAGAAATACCTTTAACGTGGAATCTGATCAAAAATGCTCTTGGGAAAGATAAGGGAAGAGGAGGGAAGAGAGGGGAGCAAAGGACTGTTGTGATGTAATATTTCAAAACAGGTTTTCTGGGAAGGAAAAATAACTTCCACATTTCTAATGCATGTAGGTACTCTTTTAACTTCCTGGAAAATCGTGTTGACTCCCTGGCAAAAGCAGCAGCCTCATTGAAATTCAGATAACCAATTAATTCATTTATGCATTTGACCGACAATTACCAAGTGCATTCTCTTTGTAAAAGGAAGAAATATAAGAACACTCACAGAGAATACAATCTCCATTATTACCAAGTTTCTCTTCTCTCTTATTTGTATTGTATTTACTATAATAGTGTACTAGATATATGACTGAACAAAAATAATCTAAGGGATAACATACATCGAGGTCTGACATGTGAAAATTTGGAAGGAGAAACAAATCAATGAATGTCTTCTCCATGTAAAATATTGAGTTGTTCGGGGAGTCATCAAGACCTAGTTTGAAATCCCAACCCCTTCACTTACTGGCTGTCCAGATGAATGGAAAACTCCCTGGGTCTCAACTCCCTTATGTGGAAAATGTTCTAGTTGTACCTACCCTCATGGTAGTTTTACTGATTAAATATGATGTTGGCAAGCACCCCTCCATAGTACATATTCAACAAATTATAGCTATTTGGCTTGTCTTTTGGAATCCTAAACTAACATAATGCCTTTCTTAATTCCTATGAGCACTTATTGGCAAGATTCCAGAAACACTAAATCTTATTTTACCTCTTCAAAAGAAATTTTTTTTTGTGCTTATCTTCTCTAAAAATATAAATCTCAGAATTTTCATGCTTCTGGATGGCTCAAATAAACACATGAAGAAGAAATTCCACTTTCAAGGAGCCCTTCCAATAAAATAACCAAGAAAATTCTTACCTAGTTTTGGCAAGGAATAGGGCACTTTAAAGTAGTCTTCATAAAATTCTATTAATCTCTTTGTTATATGGAGAGCATAGTCCCCGGATCCTCTTCTGATAGCATCAGGTCTTGCATATAATCGTACCTAATTAAAAATATATATAAAAGTTACTTTAGCCTTTTAGCACTTGAGTTTTATCTTCCCTGCAAATATGAATCTACACAAATCACTTAGAATACTACAAAACTTAAACAGGATTCTCGTTCATACACTATATCAAAGCACAGTGGGGCTGAAAGGACCAAACTTAAACAATTGAAGTAATTGAAGTAACCAAGGAGAGCAAGTCACAATTTCCTCGCTTTACAAGATGACATTGAGAAGATTTATACACCTTGCATCAAAATAAATATTCAACGTTATCACTTACATGTGCTTGCTAGAGATAGGAAGGTACAGTGGATTAGTATAATGGGACCCTGACTATGCTGAAAGTAGGCAGGATATGGTGGCTTGGCAGGAGAAAAAATTCATGGTTTGTTAAAGACAGGTTGTATCAAGCTTCCGAAGTATTACCAGACTGAGAATATATATCTATAATTTATGCTTCCTTTTTTTCTTTGGAATCAACTGTCTTTATTCCCAATATGCAAAGTAGGGATAGAAAACTTTTCATGTACACAAGCAATCACCATTCTGGAAGGCTGTCTGCAACTGCTCCTGGCTTCAAACTCAGCAGAATAATTCATATTTCTAACACAATCCAGATACTTAATATTGATTTTTAAAGCAAGCATTGTATATTATCTAGTCCTTGGCCAAAAAAAAAAAAAAGCCTAAAGCAAGTAACATGAAACTGAACAAAACTAACAATTGTATGGAAAAGGTTAAAATGAGATTAGTTTTCATAAAGCTTTCATAAAGCTATCTAGCATCTTTCTTTCCAAAGGCTAAATCTATTTTTCACAGATGTGGTCCCTAATCCTCATATCAATTCTATGAAAAAGAAATATGTATTTTGTGGAGCAGTAGAGAGCACAGTGGCTTGGGAGTTGGATTTTAGTCCTACTCTGCCACTAACCAAGGTGGGTGATATTGAACAAATTACTTAATTTCTTTGGGTCTCAAACACTCTCATTTATAAAATGAAGGTGTTGGCCACCAGCTGGCTGCTAAAGTGCTTTCAGTTCTAAAACATATTACTTCCAATCCCATTTTACAGATAAGGGAATTTGTGTTCTTTTCAAATATCTAAAAAAAAAAAATGGTTTACTCAGTATATAGAAGTGAACACTTACATTCAATAAAAAAAGAAATTTGTACTCATTGAATATTTACATTCAATTAAAAACAAATAAAGCTGTACATGTTATACATCATCTATTATTATTTATAATAAAAATTGATTATATGATTAACTCTTTATTATCTCTGCCTAAAGAGAGAGAACAGAAATGTGTGTAATTAAAAAGAGTATGAAGTCAAGGAAAACACATTCTGACTGTATGTTCGAAAGACCTGCAATGCAGTAAGTTATTTACTAAATTCTACAACAATTATTGACTGAAATTGTAAAGCTACTTTCCTACCAACAATTAAATAAAATATCAAATTTAGTCTACAGTCACCAACATTTTGGGCTGGCAGTATTAGAAAACCAAAAACTATCAGGAGAGACTACCTGCAACAGCAGAACTTGACACTCTTAAGAAGGTAGTGGTTAGGATCCCCTACCCCTGACAATAACTGTGAACAAACATGCAATATCTGAAGTAAAGTTCATAGGAAGCGGACCTTTAAAAAAGGATGAATGTACAAGTGATTTAATAAAGAAGTGCTCTAAGGAGAAACTTACAGGAGAATGGGGGAAGCAGGAAAATGGAGGATAATAAACTAAGCAAGGGTGCAATTTCAGGTGAAGTCCTGGACTCAGCCTGATCCACAGGAGCTCTGGAGTGTGAATTACGCTGGTGAGTTCACACTGCCTTGAGGCAAGAGAACTAGACTTCCATACTCTTGCACCTTGTCATTGGCTACTGGTTACCAAGGGGAAGACATAAAACCCCAGGCACTTCTGGTTCTTGAGCATCTTGGTGATGTAGGTCTCACTGCCCAGAGATAGTCCTTTGGAGAAGATGTCCTGTGTGAGCTGTTAGGAGCAAAGCAGTGGAAGCTAGAAGACGTGCATACCAAACAGGAAAAGGGATCTAGTCTGTCTGTGCACCAACAACATCCACAAGAGACAGTCTTCATTAATTTGTGCATTCATTCATTCAACAAATATTTATTCGCACCCATCTTGTATCAGGGCCTGGACTAAGCATTTTTAATTTAGCAGTGAAGAAGACATGCATTATTGAGATAAAAAGCAATGAAGATACAATCACCACTCTCAAAGACCTTCTCATTTATTAAGTTACATTGTTACCACAGATAATGATACCTGCCATATGAATGGTAAAATATAAATGTAAAATGGATACTGAGGAAGAATGAATAGCTTTCAAAAGATTCTACATAAAGTATCTAGTAGATTCATGTTAAAACCATAACCGGAACTACTCTAAAATGATACAGCAAATGTCACTGGTTTTACTCTTAGGACGCTTCCCTGTTTTTGGTGGAAACACAGCCATTCCTATCAATCGATCTTACCAGTTAGTCAAGCTGTCTGTACACCCAGACAAAAGAAACACAATTAAATTAATCTGCTTGTCAAGATTTAATGGAAATGATCCAATTTAAGCAAGAAGATAAAACATATACATGTTCAGCACAGCGTCTTCATTTGCTCATTCAAACTTCTATTATTTACCTGCTGTGTGCTAGGCATTGTACTAGGGAATAGAAATAGAACAATAAAATTCCTACCACAAAATGAACAAGACATTCATACTTACTGCTCTTAAGAGGTTCATACTATGTGGAAAAGCAAACAAATAAATTAACAACAAAAATACAATGTGAGAAATATAACAATGTACCCTCCCTTCCCTGCCATTTCAAAGGATGAACTGACTAAGCTCCTATCCAAGGCTAAGCTCTTCACATTTAACCTCCTCTTGCCTTTTCAAAGGCACAGTTCCCCAAATTCCTCCCTTTATCTCCCACATCACCAATCTATGCTTTCTTGATTACAGTTCCTCCAGCTATGGTTTCCAGATAATGCTCCTTGAAAGAGTTTCCTGTATAGCCAAGGTGAACATGTCAGTTAACAGCCAAACCAAAACACATCTGAGAATACTTACAACCTGAGACTATCGGTGCAAGTAGGGCATTCACCTATTTATACCTTTTTTTAGTCTCCCTTGAACTCATTTCAACAAGGCTTTCATTCCAACTACTCTAGTAGAACTGTTCACCTAAAGATCACTAATGGCCTCAAGATACCAAATCCAACAGTCAGTTCTCAGTCTTCAACATGCTTCAGCTGTCAGCAGCATTTGCACAGTTGATCGATCACTTCCTGTCCTTAAAGCATTTTATTCGCTTCTCTTACTTTTCTATCTATCTCACTGCCACTCCTCAGTCTCCTGCCCGATTCCTCCTTCTACTCATCCCAATCATTGATTAATGTTGGAGGGTTCCCAGGTTTCAATACATTGATCTCTTTACTTTTCTGCTACGCTCAGTGCCTGGGTGATAACATCTAGTCTCATGGCCATAAATGTCATGTAGATGCCAAAAGTTTATCCAGTTATTCCAGACTTCCAGACTCATGAATTCAACTGTCCACCTGACATTTCTACTTGGAGATCTAACAAGCATCTCAAACTTAACAGGTCTAAAACCAAACTCCTGATATCACACACACACACACACACACACACACACACACACACACACTTCTCCTTCTAAAATCTTTCCCACCTCAGTTAATGGTAATTCTTTCCTTCTATCCAGCTGTCCATACCCAACCCCTGTATGTTCATCATCCTTGTTTCCCCTCTTTCTCTCACACTCCATGTTCAGTTAGTCAGCATATCCTACTGGCTCTACTTTTAACAATACATCCAGAATCCAACCACTTCTCACAACCCCACTACTACCACCCTGGTCCATGCCTTCTCCATTTCTTGCCTGAATGACTGCTTTATTTTCCTACTGATGCCTCGTCCCTTGCTCCTTCAAGCTGTTATGTATACAGTAATCAAAACCTTCTTGTTAAAATGAGCTTCAAATCACGCACTCTTCTGGTTTTCCTCCTTCAGTGGCTTCTCCCCTCACAGTAGAAGCCAAGGTTTTTACAAGGGCCCCAAATGTCCTATACTAATCTAATCCCTTTTAGCTCTCTGGATTCATATCCTAGTCCTTTGCTCCACACTAACTTCAATCCACTCATAACACTAGCTTCCTTTTCACTCCTCAAACATACCAGAGAGATTCTCGATCAAGGATTTTGAGTTTTCCCCTAGATAGCCCCATGGCTAGTTCCTCCATCTTCTTTAGATACTTGTCCAAATCCCACACTTGCTGAAAATCCTTCCCTCTGACCCCAGGACCATCTATCTCCTTTTCTTGCTTTATTGTTTCCTGAAACACTTACCACCATTTAGCAAAATATAAGTTTTATTTATTCATTTTGCTTCTTGCTACCATTTTTTCAGAATGCACATTGCATGAGGGCAAAGATTTTTATCTATTAGCTCAAGTCACATGAAACAGCCAGTTTTTCAAGACAGGGATGCCCTCTCTCACCACTCCTATTCAACATAGTGTTGGAAGTTCTGGCCAGGGCAATGAGGCAGGAGAAGGAAATAAAGGGTATTCAATTAGGAAAAGAGGAAGTCAAATTGTCCCTGTTTGCAGATGACATAATTGTATATCTAGAAAACCCCACTGTCTCAGCCCGAAATCTCCTTAAGCTGATAAGCAACTTCAGCAAAGTCTCAGGATACAAAATCAATGTACAAAAATCACAAGCATTCTTATACACCAATAACAGACAAACAGAGAGCCAAATCATGAGTGAACTCCCATTCACAATTGCTTCAAACAGAATAAAATACCTAGGAATCCAACTTACAAGGGACATGAAGGATCTCTTCAAGGAGAACTACAAACCACTGCTCAATGAAATAAAAGAGGATACAAACAAATGGAGGAACATTCCATACTCATGGGTAGGAAGAATCACTATCGTGAAAATGGCCATACTGCCCAAGGTAATTTATAGATTCAATGCCATCCCCATCAAGCTACCAATGACTTTCTTCACAGAATTGGAAAAACCTACTTTAAAGTTCATAGGGAACCAAAAAAGAGCCCACATCGCCAAGTCAATCCTAAGCCAAAAGAACAAAGCTGGAGGCATCACGCTACCTGACTTCAAACTATACTACAAGTCTACAGTAACCAAAACAGCATGGTACTGGTACCAAAACAGAGATATAGATCAATGGAACAGAACAGAGCCCTCAGAAATAGTGCCGCATATCTACAACCATCTGATCTTTGACAAACCTGAGAAAAACAAGCAATGGGGAAAGGATTCCCTATTTAATAAATGGTGCTGGGAAAACTGGCTAGCCATATGTAGAAAGCTGAAACTGGATCTCTTCCTTACACCTTATACAAAAATTAATTCAAGATGGATTACAGACTTAAACGTTAGACCTAAAACCATAAAAACCCTAGAAGAAAACCTAGGCATTACCATTCAGGACATAGGCATGGGCAAAGACTTCATGTCTAAAACACCAAAAGCAATGGCAACAAAAGCCAAAATTGACAAATGGGATCTAATTAAACTAAAGAGCTTCTGCACACAAAAGAAACTACCATCAGAGTGAACAGGCAACCTACAAAATGGGAGAAAATTTTCGCAACCTACTCATCTGACAAAGGGCTAATATCTAGAATCTACAATGAACTCAAACAAATTTACAAGAAAAAAAAACAACCCCATCGAAAAGTGGGCAAAGGATAGGAACAGACACTTCTCAAAAGAAGACATTTATGCAGCCAAAAGACACATGAAAAAATGCTCAGCATCACTGGCCATCAGAGAAATGCAAATCAAAACCACAATGAGATGCCATCTCACACCAGTTAGAATGGCAATCATTAAAAAGTCAGGAAACAACAGGTGCTGGAGAGGATGTGGAGAAATAGGAACACTTTTATACTGTTGGTGGGACTGTAAACTAGTTCAACCATTGTGGAAGTCAGTGTGGCGATTCCTCAGGTATCTAGAACTAGAAATACCATTTGACCCAGCCATCCCATTACTGGGAATATACCCAAAGGACTATAAATCATGCTGCTATAAAGACACATGCACATGTATGTTTATTGCGGCACTATTCACAATAGCAAAGACTTGGAACCAACCCAAATGTCCAACAATGATAGATTGGATTAAGAAAATGTGGCACATATATACCATGGAATACTATGCGGCCATAAAAAAGGATGAGTTCATGTCCTTTGTAGGGACATGGATGAAACTGGAAATCATCATTCTCAGTAAACTACCCCAAGGACAGAAAACCAAACACCACATGTTCTCACTCATAGATGGGAACTGAACAATGAGAACACATGGACACAGGAAGGGGAACATCACACTCTGGGGACTGTTGTGGGGTTGGGGGAGGGGGGAAGGATAGCATTAGGAGATATACCTAATGCTAAATGACGAGTTAATGGGTGCAGCACACCAGCATGGCACATGTATACATATATAACTAACCTGCACATTGTGCACATGTACCCTAAAACTTAAAGTATAATAATAATAAAAATAAATAAATAAATAAAAGCCAGTTTTGTGAGTCGAAATATTTTGTTCAGTTTGCCTCTCAAATGCCTACTAGATACAACTTTGATGAATAAATGAGCAAATGAATGAGTTTCATAGGTATGTATAGGTCCTAAGGAAGTATGAAGTATGTAATAAGGACCCATCTCAGAGGAGGGGAAGTTTCAGCTGAATCTTGAAAGATAAGCTGGACACAGGAAGCTACCAAGAGGAGGATGATATCCCAGACTAAGGTAACAATATGTACTATGACAACAGTTCTGACCAAATAATAAGTGACCGTAAAGGGATTACTGAATACTAGGATGTTATTTTAAAATGTGTGGGAATTGGCCAGGGGCAGTGGCTCACGCCTGTAATCCCAGCAATTTGGGAGGCCAAGGCAGGTGGATCTCACCTGAGGTCAGGATTTCGAGACCCGCATGGCCAACATGGCGAAACCCCATCTCTAACAAAAATATAAAAATTAGCTGAGCATGGTGGTGCATGCCTGTAATCCCAGCTACCTGAGAGGCTGAGGCAGAAGAATTGCTTGAACGGTGCAGGCAGAGGTTGCAGTGAGCCAAGATCACGCCATCGCATTCCAGCCTTGGTGACAGAGCAAGACTCCATCTCAAAAAAAAAAAAATAACATTAACAATACATTCTTTTAAAGTGTGGGAATTCATAGGAGGATATTAAGCCAGAACATGATAAAATTAGTTTCACATTTCAGAAAAATCACAACCTATACTAGGTGAACTAAGATATAGAAAGCTGCCTGTTAAAACTGCAGGCAGAAAGACTAATTAGAAAAGTGAGGAGATATATAGTGATAGGTGACACTGAAGAAGTAAAGAGAAGCTACAAAATATATTACACAAGTGTCTGTAAACCGAATTGCAAAATATGAATTTAATACCGTCGGCACAAGCAAGTCACTTAAAGATTTTAAGCCATAGAATGACATGATCAGAATTAGGTTTTAGCAGACTACATTGGCTGCAGTGAAGATGATGGATTAGGAGGAAACAGAAACAAATAAAAGGACATGAGTTAGACTATTGTAGAAGTCCAGATGAAAGATAACCGTGGTTTGGACTGGAGAGATGGCAGTAGGGATGCAGAGAAATAGATGGATTTATTCAATCAGTCCTAACCCTCTGTTGAACATGTCCTTTAGTTACCAAGTAAAGCCAATTGTAGTCACATTTTTACTTAAAAACAATCATTCACCTTATCTGTACTCCCAGTATCTCACTCCAGTGACCTGCTGGAACACATGAGACCCAGTTGAACAAGTGGGAGAAAAGTACAAAATATTTTGCAAACCGAGTAATTCCTGTATGGTTAATCAAGTGAATTTTGTACAATAATTCACTTTACACTGTGAAAAGAAATCACAGTTGTTTTCTTCTTTTAGAGTAACTAGGTCCTACTTAATCATAACATAGAGAGTAAATCTTCATAAACATAGTTATTACTCAAAAGCAATAAAATATAATTTTATTACACCTGCTTATTTGCAGCGTTTTCTGACATTCCATGATAAGAGCCCAGCTCTGAAACTGTAAATTGCTTACTAGGCTTTATCTCTTCCTCTGCAGAGCTTCTTCCAACAACCAATATAAACCAAACTCTATAAACATTTAGTCCGGTGGAAAGGACATTACACTAGGAAATGGTATGCAGGGACTGGAGGGTCAACTTTCTGTAACTACTGTCTAGTTGTGAGAGTCATTAACTTCTCTGGGTCTCAGCTCAAAGTTCCTTCTGGGGGCTATAGTTTATCATTATCTATTTATTATATTACGTCTGAGAGGTTGGTGTGTCATACAAACATGCCAAAATTCTTCTCATCTAGTCTACATTTATTTTGAAGAGAAAATAATGAAAAGGTTTTTTTTGTCCTGACACAGTTTTACTCCTTTACATTTTTTATTTCCCTTGACAACACAAATCAACTGCTCAGCGACCTTTCTCCATCCTTTACTCCTGTGTATTCTTCTTTGCTTTCCTGACTGGCCATGAACTTGTTACTGATTGAACAGAAATCACTGTAGTAACCAACACAAAACAGACGCTGACTGTGGAAAAATATGCTTATGGCACCACCCTGGTGGTAATACATCATAGCAATGAGCTAAGGTGGAGGACTACAAATTTTTGATCCCTTAGGATAAAATGGGAGCTCCTGTTGGTGTTTCTATGGGACCTAGTAGCCTTTACTCTGTAATTTCATGGACTCGCTATAAATGTTTATTTCATCTCTTTATAGATTTTAAGTATTTTTATCATTGAAAGGAAAAACATACTAAAGGCAGATATCTTCAACCCCTTTGGTCATCTCACTTTCCCACAAGTCAAAGATGGCAATAAAGTTTCAGCTATCCTGACACTGTGGGTGGCTGCTTACAGGACATGCTGGGAAGAATCCTGAGACCATATCTGGACTTGGCAGAAAAAAGTGCTGTAATCCGTGAAATGCCAGCTGTGTACACAAGGGTAGGAAACACAGCACTGGTGCCAGATACTCAACACTATTAGGGTAGAATATTCTTTAGGAAAGTGTCAAAATGGAAGAGAACTTCAGATAGATTTGAATTAATTATATCTCATAGCTGTGCAATTTAGAAAAAGAACATCAAAGACTGTTTAAGGATTTCATCAATGGGACATTTATTTATTCAGTTAATAGTTAATAAGAGTCTATTAAGGGTCAGGTCACTATTCACATGCTGAGTGTCCAAAGGTAAGCAAAAGACAAAAGCTCCCTTCTTTCAAGAAGCTTGTAGTCCACTGGGGGAGACACAATAACATGGTCCTATAATTTAGAATAACAAATTTGATCTAATTTACATTGGCTCTTCAGAAAAGTTCTATCTAAAGAGATGGTGACTCAGCGGAACAAGGTCAGAGTCCCATGAGAGTAAAGATGAGCAATTACTCAAATTATTACATACAAAGTTCTATCTTTCATTGTACTAAAATTATTTAAAGAAAGGTAAAAATACATATATAATTGCAATATAATGCAAAAAAAGAAGACACATTCAGTTGTCAGAATTATTATGAAATCTTCTACTAAATAAATTTAGAGACTTTCTTCTAATAACTTAATGTACCTTACAGACTTTTTAAGTTTATCATCATAAACTACCTGGAATTAGCAATAAATTCTGATTTTGTTCATTAAGAATTTGAAGAGATTTTCTAGTCATTGATTCGATTTCAAGGGAATGAAACTAAATCTCTCTGTCTAAAGCCTTTCTTCTAGACTGTATTAATGATTTGTTGTTTAAAAATGAATTGTGGTAGTTGTTATATAATCACGTGAAACAGTGTATAGTTATACCACACAGCCAAGAAAAAGAAAAAAACATTTACAACAGTAGTGCACCTGTTAAAGACTTAAATAACATTTTCTCTAATTTGACATTTGTAATTTGGTACTTTAAGTTAAATAAACCTTCTGACTTGCCAGAGCTATTCTCTGAGAAAATTTTATGCTGCAAGAGTACATCAGAAACTTTGGAAGACACAGTAATTATTTCACAGCTTTAAAATACCACTATAACAATACATTTACTTCTCCTTTTGCCTATAACTGAAAAACTAGTCCCCCTCTTTAATAATTCCAAAACCACAATGCACTGAATTGCAGCCGGTAAAGCTGAATTAATTCACCTATGTGAATATAATTTGATTTGGGGGTTCTTCCTACAAATCAGGAAAACAGAACAAGCCAGGGAAAAAGCAGCAGGGTGATACAAAGAGGAAAGGATGTTGTAAACAAGAAACTAAAAGCTCAGGAGTATTAGTCTTATTTAAAATTCAGAAGATAACATTTTTTTTTCTAAGCAAAAGGGAAATAAATACACATGAAAGTCTAGAAGAAACAGGGAACTAATGCCCAGATTCACATTCAAGAGCCAATGAACATAAAGAAGAAGCTGGAAGGAGGAAGGGGAAGGCACTGGCCCGGGAGTGGCAAATGGCAGAGCCCAAAGAGCCTTGACGTCTCATATGAAGACTGGACATGAGGCTTTGAGGAGTTGAGAGCCACTGCCGAGTTTGAGGCAGAGTGACATGATTGAAAACGACAAAGGGAGATTATTTAGGCAACAGAACTTAAGATGCATTGAGACAAGAAGGCCAGTGAGTAGAAAAGCATAATATTACAGGTGAAGAATTTGTGCTGTGGTTTTTACGGCAAGAACAGCCAGTAACAGGCACCCTCCATCACCATAGTCGAAGAACTCATTCTGAGAAGGAGGAGAATTTACAATTGGTGATGGATGGGGAGTAAAATCTCAGTGCTAAGAAGGAGGCACATGATGATATGAAAACCACAACTACCTCAAAACCTATCAGTCTAACAAAAACACATTGCAGAAAGACATCTCAAAGCCTCTTGGTGAATCTCACGAAGAATCTGCACCACAGATACATATAATGAATATTTTGAGAACGATTACTTAGACTTCTTTACTGAGGTCAAAAGTCAGCCTTACGCTAAATTTCACACCATAGCAAATACTGTTATAAGGCAAATCCAAGTATTATCATTGATAAAGTTGCTCTAATGGCCTGTCCCTGCTTGTACTTTCCCCCTTCCCTCTTTACAGAATTTTACTAAAAATTCATGAGAAAAACACTCACTAAAAATTCTGAAACAGGTCTGCTACATACTATGGGGGTTTTTGGGCCCCATGGCCCTTATTTTGTAGGTTTATAGGCTCTTATACTTAAAGTGTGTTTGGCTTATCTTTCTACAAGACTTTAAGTTTCTTAACCATTGGCTCGGTCTTTTCACTCCTTACTGTGTCTAATACGATGCCTTGCACCCAATAGGGACTGACAATATGTTTCTGACTCCCATAAAATGGCAATAAACTTTGAAGGTACTTGTCCACTCTAGTACTAAAACGCTGCTATAATAGATTGATTACATCTTCCAACTGCATTTTGCTTCAGGCAAGGAAATTAGCACTGTGGCATACTGTATAGTCTCTTCTTGTAAATCACTTCACATTTATTTACTAAGCTGTGGAATTTACAAGTTTAAGTTACTTACAGGGACTTCCAGGAACAGGCAGGACTTTGCTATATTCACACTGATATTGTCACATTTTTCTAAATATGTGTGTGGTAGGCTGAGTGATGGCCCCCAAAGATAGCTACATCTTAATGTTGCCTTCTACAGCAAAAAGAACTTTGCAGGTGTGATTAAATTAAGAGATTACTAGATTACTGGAGATTATCCTGGATTATCAAAGTAGATCCTAAGTGTAATCACAAATGTCATTATAAGGGGGAGGCAGAAAGAGTTCGTTGGACCTCCGAAGAGGAGAAGGCAATACGATGACAGGAGCAGACAGAAATGTGAAAAAAATGTGAAGATGCAAAGATGGAGAAAGGAGCCACAAGCCAGGGAAGGCAATGGATGCAGTATTAGAAGCTGGAGAGGCAGGGAACCAGATCATCCCACAGAGCCTCCACAGGGACCAGCCCTCCACAGTCCTTGGTTTAGCACTGTAAAACTCATTTTGGATTTCTAACCTCCAGAAGAGTAAGACAATAAGTTTGTGTTGTGTGAAGCCACTGAATTTGCAAAAATTTCTTACGGCTGCAATGGGAAGCTAATATATTATACCTTCTTATCTTCTTGCCAGTTAATTCACTGCTTCGGATTAGATTTTCAACTTCCTGTGGGAGCACAGTGTGTGTTCCTTTTTGTGTTTCTCTCTTTGTTGTAGGTATAATTCTTCACAGCTGTGAAACTGCTAACTTTGGTGCACCTGTATCACTCACCTATATTATTACCAAGCTTCCAATACATTAATGCATGTAAGTGATACACAGAAGAAAATGAAATAATTTTAAAAAGTTAAACTCACCTACAGTTATTTTTCTCCAAGTGTCCCACAATGTTTGCATCAGAATCACCAAAGGTTATTGTTTGAAATTCAGACTCCTGGGCCTAACCACACCAGAAGTTCTGAATCATCTCTCCCAGGCAGGGCCCTGCACTTAACACACTTACAGTTGAATCATATATATTCCAAAGTTGAAGAACCACTGGACTAGAGTCACCTGAAAAAGCTTTTGTTCATTTAGCCCCACAACAAGCAAACCTCAAAGCTTGAAAGAAATATTTAGCAGAAGCCTAACACACAGGGAAAATATGTATCATGTTTCCTTAAATCTATTTCAACATCAGAGTCTTCAATGAAGATACATTCAACAGGGCTGTTATTATTTTTAACTCTAACAACTAATCTTTCTCCTGCACAATAAGCAGTAACAGATAAGTCAGATCCAACATTTGGGAATCAGAAAAAGTTGGTTAATCCTGTCACAGCCCAGAGATAAAACAGTAGCATTTAATCCCTCTGTGAAACAGACTACCTCTTTTGTAGAAAATTGAACTGCACTTTTTGGTTGTTCATTTGTTTGTTCTTAAACAAGAGAATAAACTTAGAGAATGTCCTTATTAAGCTATCTATTTTACGCCTGATCAAACTTCTTCAGCAAGACTGACAGCCAGGTACAGCTATTTGTAAATAGAGGGGCTGAATGCTGAGTTGAATTCAGTATCAATTTAGTTTGGCCCATCAGTCCTTTGATTCCTTGATTCCCAGCTGCCTGCTGACCTCACTTTGACGAATGCCATCTTCCTTTCTAAATCAACACCATCCAGTTCAAGCACAGCATTCTGCCTTCACTGATTATCTCTCTTGTATATTTTAATAATGCTGGCATCCCTCTGTCCCCAAGGGTAAGAACCTCAGGACTCATTTGTTTGTTCATTCATTTTACAAATATTTATTGAGAGGCTACTCTGTGCCAGGACTTATCCTAGGTGCTGAGGACATAGAGTGAACCAAACAAGTAGAAATCCCTACTATGGAAAGCTTACATTCTCATAGGAAAGACAGGTAATAGCCAGATAAATACAATTTATAGGATGTTAAATAATAAGTTTTCAAAGGGGATTAAGAAATGTCCAATGCCAAGGAAAGCATCACTCAGAAGGTATTATTCGAGGAAAAATATAAAGTGAGGATGTAAGTAACACGGATATAGGTTTCTGACAGGAATGAATTCCAGGAACAGCCACTTGTCCATGTCCTTAAAATCTTCATTGTATCAGTTCTCATACCTCTCCATTCAACTCTTTCATTAAATAAATTATAAAACAGTATGGCCATTTTCATGATATTGATTATTCCTACCCATGAGCATGGAATGTTCTTCCATTTGTTTGTATCCTCTTTTATTTCATTGAGCAGTGGTTTGTAGTTCTCCTTGAAGAGGTCCTTCACGTCCCTTGTAAGTTGGCTTCCTAGCTATTTTATTCTCTTTGAAGCAATTGTGAATGGGAGTTCACTCATGATTTGGCTCTCTGTTTGTCTGTTATTGGTGTATAACAATGCTTGTGATTTTTGTACATTGATTTTGTATCCTGAGACTTTGCTGAAGTTGCTTATCAGCTTAAGGAGATTTTGGGCTGAGACAATGGGGTTTTCTAGATATACAATCATGTCGTCTGCAAACAGGGACAATTTGACTTCCTCTTTTCCTAATTGAATACCCTTTATTTCCTTCTCCTGCCTCATTGCCCTGGCTAGAACTTCCAACACTATGTTGAATAGGAGTGGTGAGAGAGGGCATCCCTGTCTTGTGCCACTTTTCAAAGGGAATGCTTCCAGTTTATGCCCATTCAGTACGATATTGGCTGTGGGTTTGTCATAGATAGCTCTTATTATTTTGAGACATGTCCCATCAGTACCTAATTTATTGAGAGTTTTTAGCATGAAGCGTTGTTGAATTTCGTCAAAGGCCTTTTCTGCATCTATTGAGATAATCATGTGGCTTTTGTCTTTGGTTCTGTTTATATGCTGGATTACATTTATTGATTTGCGTATATTGAACCAGCCTTGCATCCCAGGGATGAAGCCCACTTGATCATGGTGGATAAGCTTTTTGATGTGCTGCTGGATTCGGTTTGCCAGTATTTTATTGAGGATTTTGGCATCAATGTTCATCAAGGATATTGGACTAAAATTCTTTTTTGGTTGTGTCTCTGCCCAGCTTTGGTATCAGGATGATGCTGGCCTCATAAAATGAGTTGGGGAGGATTCCCTCTTTTTCTATTGATTGGAATAGTTTCAGAAGGAATGGTACCAGTTCCTCCTCGTACCTCTGGTAGAATTCGGCTGTGAATCCATCCATACTGCCCAAGATAATTTATAGATTCAATGCCATCCCCATCAAGCTACCAATGACTTTCTTCACAGAACTGGAAAAACCTACTTTAAAGTTCATATGGAACCAAAAAAGAGCCTGCATCGCCAAGTCAATCCTAAGCCAAAAGAACAAAGCTGGAGGCATCATGCTACCTGACTTCAAACTATACTACAAGTCTACAGTAACCAAAACAGCATGGTACTGGTACCAAAACAGAGATATAGATCAATGGAACAGAACAGAGCCCTCAGAAATAATGTCGCGTATCTACAACTATCCGATCTTTGAACAAACCTGCGAAAAACAAGCAATGGGGAAAGGATTCCCTATTTAATAAATGGTGCTGGGAAAACTGGCTAGCCATATGTAGAAAGCTGAAACTGGATCTCTTCCTTACACCTTATACAAAAATTAATTCAAGATGGATTACAGACTTAAACGTTAGACCTAAAACCATAAAAACCCTAGAAGAAAACCTAGGCATTACCATTCAGGACATAGGCATGGGCAAGGACTTCATGTCTAAAACACCAAAAGCAATGGCAACAAAAGCCAAAATTGACAAATGGGATCTAATTAAACTAAAGAGCTTCTGCACAGCAAAAGAAACTACCATCAGAGTGAACAGGCAACCTACAAAATGGGAGAAAAATTTCGCAACCTACTCATCTGACAAAGGGCTAGTATCCAGAATCTACAATGAACTCAAACAAATTTACAAGAAAAAAACAAACAACCCCATCAAAAAGTGGGCAAAGGACATGAACAGACACTTCTCAAAAGAAGACATTTATGCAGCCAAAAAACACATGAAAAAATGCTCACCATCACTGGCCATCAGAGAAATGCGAATGAAAACCACAATGAGATACCATCTCACACCAGTTAGAATGGCAATCATTAAAAAGTCAGGAAACAACAGGTGCTGGAGAGGATGTGGAGAAATAGGAACACTTTTACACTGTTGGTGGGACTGTAAACTAGTTCAACCATTGTGGAAGTCAGTGTGGCGATTCCTCAGGGATCTAGGACTAGAAATACCATTTGACCCAGCCATCCCATTACTGGGTATATACCCAAAGGACTATAAATCATGCTGCTATAAAGACACATGCACACGTATGTTTATTGCAGCACTATTCACAATAGCAAAGACTTGGAACCAACCCAAATATCCAACAATGATAGACTGGATTAAGAAAATGTGGCACATATACACCATGGAATACTATGCAGCCATAGAAAATGATGAGTTCATGTCCTTTGTAGGGACATGGATGAAATTGGAAATCATCATTCTCAGTAAACTATTGCAAGAACAAAAAACCAAACACTGCATATTCTCACTCATAGGTGGGAATTGAACAATGAGATCACATGGACACAGGAAGGGGAACATCACACTCTGGGGACTGTTGTGGGGTGGGGGGAGGTGGGAGGGATAGTTTTAGGAGATACACCTAATGCTAAATGACGAGTTAATGGGTGCAGCACACCAGCATGGCACATGTATACATATGTAACTAACCTGCACATTGTGCACGTGTACCCTAAAACTTAAAGTATAATAATAATAAAATAAAAAAAAAATAAATTATAAAACACCTACTCATATAGAAAAGTACAAAGAATAATCTAACATTACTCTTATATCTGAAACAGATTTAATGTTGATATTTTTTCACATAGGCTTTGGATATTTTTTATCTTTTACACTTTATTGCATCTTTCCAACAAATGTATCAAATATTACTATTGGCATTTTATACATAATGCATGTCCAAGCATAAAATCCAATCTTTTATTCAGCTTGACACATTAACTTTGTTAAAATATCTGGATTTTCACCTCCAAAGCATATAGTTTTAACAAAACACCTGAATAAATCCCATGGGATTTTATTTAACATGGTAAAGTCAATGTTCTTCTAAACGGTGTGAAGGGCACAAAAAAAAGCTTTAAAGAGCAATTCCACAGAAGAATTAACAAAGAAGTAAAAGGAGAAACAGACACTAATATACACAAATTATCCTCAGCAAACTAGCGCAGGAACAGAAAACCAGACACCACATGTTCTCACTTATAAGTGGGAGCCGAACAATGAGAACATATGGACACAGGGAGGGAACAATACACACTGGGGCCTGAGGTGGGGATAGGGGGAGGGAGAGCATCAGGATAAATAACTAATGTATGCAGGTTTTAATACCTAGGTGATGGGTTGATAGGTGCAGCAAACCACCCCAGCACACGTTTACCTATGTAACAAACCTCCATATCCTGCACATGTATCCCAGAACTTAAAATTACATTAAATTTTAAAATATGTAAATTATCATAACTGCAAAACACTCCCTTCATCCGATTCCCATCCCTCCTGCTCTAGAATTACCCATGGTCATGAAGTATTGGCTTTCACAATCAACTGTACAATATATTTTCAATTCATTTTATATTTTTTACTCAGTTTTACTCTGTATTATCCATTTCTCTTCAAAAGACTTGTACCAATTTACATCTTACCAGTACAAGCCCTGCTTCCCCACATCCTCACCAAAATTCTATTTTGAGATTTTTGTTAAACAATGGGTATGAAATAGTGTTCCACGGTTAGTTGTAATTTGCATATTTCTGATAATAGTGAGGTTGAGCATCATTTTATATGTTTATTGACTCTCAATTTTTTTCTCTTCTGCAAACTGCCTTGTTCTGCAAACTGCCTATTTTACCTGTCTATTCTACCAGTGGATCATTTATCTTTTTCTTATGATTTGTAGAAATTCCTGTATATCCTGGATAGTAATCATTTGCCAATGTGCAATTTGCAAAAATCTCCCAGTCTATGACAGCCTTGCACATTATGGCCTTGATCAAATAGAATTTTTTACTTTGGATGTAGTCAAATATCAAATGTTCTCTTTAGGGTTTGTACTTTCTGGGTCTTTTTAATGAAATCATTCATTGCCCTCAAGGTCAAAATGTTCTTTGTTTTCTTCTAAAAGTTTAAGACTTTTGTTTTTCAAAGTCAGGCCTTCCATTCATGTGGAATGTATTGTGTGAGTGCTGTGAAATAGGGATCTCATTTTATTTTTTCTGTGTGGATAATCAATTGTCTCCGTACTATTTATTGAATTATCTTGCCTTTCCACTGACTTATAATGCCCTTCTCGCATATACCAAGTTCTCATCTATACTGGCCTCTTCATAGTCTCCTATTGGCTAGTCAGTCTCTCACCGTGCCAATACCACATTCTGTAATCAATAAAACTAAGCAATAAATCCTGAAGCCTTGTAAGACCAATACCCTTTCCTTTTTCTTTTTCAAAATGTCCTTATTATTTTGTATGAATATCAGGATAATTTTCCACACTTATACACAAAGTCTTATTGTAAATGTTGCTAGCACTGCACTGTATTTGCATGTCAACTTGACACCTTCAAAATATTAGATCTTAGCATTTATCCCCTTGGAATAATATCTCTTGATTATTTCAGTCTTTGCCCCACTTCTAAGTTTTACGATTTCCTCCACATAAGCCTTGCGCAACTTCTATTAGATTTGCGTTTAGATACTTTATGGTTTGTTGTTACCATAAATGGGATTTGAAAAATCCTATTTCTAATCTATTGTTTCTGATATTAGCTACCTATTGATTTTTCTAAAGTGACTTTGAAACAAGTCAACTTTCTCAATTAATTCAAATAGTTTTTCTGTGTTGTTTTGTATTGGCTTGTCTCAGTAAGGATTTCTAGAATAATGCCAAATAGGAGCCATGAAAGATGGTACCCTTATCTTATTTCTGACTTTATTTGGAATGCTTCTACTGTTTCACTACCAACCATAATTCTTGCTTGCAAGATAAGGAAGTTCCCTTCAATTCATTGTTTGCCAAGAATTGTATCATGAATAATGTTGGATTTTTCGAAGGCTTTCTTCACCTCTCTTCAGATATGTTTTTTTTTCTTGTGATCTGTTAAGGTAATGAATTATAGTAATAACTTGTCTAGTGTTAAATTATTTGCTTTCTTGGGGAGGTGGGGGTGGGGTACACCTACTTAGTCATGTTAGGAAACTCTCTTGTTTTGTTTAAGACAAAATTTAACTTTTCCTAAAGAGTGAGTGAAACATACCTAAACATGCCTATAAAACTGTGTGAACCTGGTGGCCCTTTTTTGTGGAGGGGGCAGTGGTTAGAGTTTTGACAACTGATTCAGTATCTTTAAGGTTCTTGATAGCTTATTGTTTTCTTAAAAATTATGCATTTCATCTAAGTTTTATAAGTATGAGCATGAAATTCTTCATAATACTATTTCTAAAATCTCTCCCTTACCTGCAATTACATTCAATTCTAATAATATTTGTACCTTTTCTCTTTTTCCATTAAGATTGTCAGAGGTAGGTCACGTAGTCTTTTCAAATAACTCTCTTTTGGCTTGGCTGAGCCTTTTTAGTATTCCTTTAGCTTTTATTTCATTAATGTCTAATCTTATCTTAATTATTTTCTCCCTTATTTCACTATACAGTTGATCCTTGAACAATGTGCGGGTTAGAGGCGCTGACCCCACGCAATAGAAAACCCATGTAGAACTTTTAACTACCCCAAAACTTAACTACTAATAGCCTACTGTCGACCACCTCACTGATAACACAGTTGATTAACACAAATGTTGTATGTCATGTGTATTCTATACTGTATTCTTACAATAAAGCAAGGTAGACAAAAGAAAATGTTATTAAAATCATGAGGAATAGAAATATATTTACTATTTATTTAGTGGCAGTGGATCATCATAAAGGTCTTTCATACTCATTGTCTTCTTGCTGAGTAAACTGAGGAGGAGAAGAAAGAGGAGGGGTTGCTCTTGCTGTCCCAGGGTTGGGAGAGGTGGAAGAAAATTCATGTATAAGGGGACCTGTGCAGGTCAAACCCATGTTCAAGAGTCAACTGTATTCTGCTATTTCTCTAAACTCTTCAATAAAGTGGTCATCTGATAATTTTAAACCATTCATGTTGTAAAGAAAACCTTTTACACTATCTCCTTATAGGTTATCAATCCCTCCTAAGTACTGTTTCAGTTGCAATCCACAAAATTGAATCAGCAGTGTTCTTATTTTTCATTAATTTTTAAATATTTCACAACTTTCCATTTGATTCATAAATTATTTAGAATTTTTTTTAACTTTCTAATGCCATAATTTTTCAGTTGTCTTTTTTTTGTTGAGATCTAACTTTATTGCCAAAAGCATGGTCTCTTTGATACTGATTCTTGGTATTTCTTTTTTTAAATACATTTTATTGTATATATTTAAGGTATACATGATGTTGTAAGATACATCATTATTACAGTAAAATAGTTACTATAGCAGAATAAAGTAACATAGCCGTCATTTCACAGTTACCCATTTTTCCCCTTTGACAAGAGCTACTATAATCTACTTGTTTAGAAGAATATCAAGTAATATTTACACTCTAATGGTCATTGCAGCACTATTCACAATAGCCAAGATATGGAAACAACCTAGGTGTCCATCAATGGATGAATGCATAAAGAAACTGTAGCATGTATACACTGAAATATTATTCAGTCTTTAAAAAGGAGGAGATCCTGCCATTTGTCACAACATGGATGGATCTAGAGAACATTATGCTAAGGGAAATAAGCCAGACACAGAAAGAACAATATTGCTTAATATCACTTACATGTGGAAAATTTTTTGAGTTAAATATATAGAGATATATAACAGTGGTTACCAGGGTTGAGGTAGGGGAGAAAAATGAATAGATGTAGGTCAAAATATACAAAGTAGCAAATACATAGAATGAACAAGTAAAAACATCTTGGTATTTTTTGAGTATTTTTCATGGACTAGTAATTGATGAATTTTGTAAGTAATAGTTATTGCTTAGGATTGCCTTGGCTATTCAGTGTCTTTCTTTGGTTCCAAATGAATTTTAAAATAATATTTTCTAGTTCTGTGAAGAATGCTGTTGGTAGTTTGATAGGAATAGAATTGAATCTGTAAATTGCTTTGGGTTCTCTCTGGTTGCTTTATTTAAACCTGGAAAGTTTTAAGTATACATAAAAGCAGAGAGAACTGAATACAGATTAAACAACTATGAAGAATTTGCTTCATCTATTTTGCTGAATTGTCTAAAGGAAATCACAGGCATTATGTCATTTTATCCATACTATATGCATTTCCGAAAATATAGATATTTTCTTATGTAACCACAATGTCATTATCAACCTAACAAAATGATCTCTGGCTCACAGGTAAGTTTTCTCTTTGTGCTTGGAGTTTCATAGTTTCACCATGATGTTTCCAAATGTGGCTTTGTTTTACTTATCCTGCTCAGGTCATTCTTGACCTCTCCCTCTACCTCACCAAACCATCCCAAATCCAATCCATCACAAGCCCTTTTAATTTTACCTCTTTAACAAATTTTTAATCTATCATTTTTCTCCGCATCCACTACAATCCTAGTCAAATGACTTCATCTTTCACATAGATTGCTGTAAACCACATAACTTCTCACATCCATTCCTTCCCCTCTACATCCACTTTTCACAAAGTAGCCAGAAGATTCTTTTTTTTTTTAACTTTTATTTTAGGTTCAGGGCTACATGTGCAGGTTTGTTATATAGGTAAACTCGTGTCACAGGGGTTTGCTGTACATATTATTTTGTCAACCAGGTACTAAGTCTAGTACCCATTAGTTATCTTTTCTCCTCTTCTTCCTTCTCCCACCCTCCACCCTCAAGTAGACCCCGTTGTCTGTTGTTCCCCTCTCTGTGTCCATGTGTTCTTACCATTCCCACTTATAAGTGAGAAGATGTGGTATTTGGTTTTGTGTTCCTGCATTAGTTTGCTAAAGATGATGGCCTCCAGCTCCATCCATGTTCCTGCAAAGGACAAGATCTCATTGTTTTTATGGCTGTGTAATATACCATAGTGTGTATGTACTACATTCTCTCTATCCAGTATACTATTGATGGGCATTTAGATTGATCCCATGTCTTTTCTATTGTGAATAGTGCTGCAATGAACATTCTCTTGCATGTGTCTTTATGGTAGAACAATTTACATTACTTTGGGTATATACCCAGTAATGGGATTGCTGGATTGAATGGTGGTTCTGTTTTTAGCTCTTTGAGGAACTGCCACACTGCTTTCTACAATGGTTATCCCATCAACACTGTATAAGCATTCCCTTTTCTCTGCAACTTCACCAGCATCTGTTATTTTCTGACTTTTTAGTAATAGCTATTCTGGCTGGTGTGAGATGGTTTCTCAATATGGTTTTGATTTGCATTTCTCTAATGATCAATGATATTGAGCTTATTTATATATGCTTGTGGGCCACATGTCTGTCTTCTTTTGAAAAGTGTGTGTTCATGTTCTATGCCCTCTTTTTAATGGGGTTGTTTTCTCTTGTAAATTTGTTTAAGTTCCTTGTAGATACTGGATATTAGAATTTTGTCAGATGAATAGTTTGCAAATATTTTCTCCCATTCTGTAGGTTGTCTGTTTACTATGTTGATAGTTTCTTTTGCTGTGCAGAAGCTCTTAAGTTTAATTAGTTCCCATTTGTCAATTTTTGCTTTTGTGGTGATTGTTTTGGTGTCTTTGTCATGAAATCTTTGCCAGTTCTTATGTCCAGAATGGTATTGCCTAGGTCGTCCTCTTGGGTTTTGAAGGTTCTTTTTAGAAGGCAATTTTACCATGTAGCCTCCATCTTGAAACCTTTATTTGCTCTGAGGAAAAGAGCCTACAAGGTATGCATGGTAAGTCTAACCAGCTATGCATGCACTCTTTGTTTAATCTTGAACACCTTCTCTAACTACAACTCTCCATAAACCCCAACCACTTCTGAATTAACTTTTACTATCCTTCAAATTTCTCACCCCTATTTCAGAGAAACCATCCTTGGAACCCAAATATAGGTCAAGGCTTTTTTCCTAATTTTTCATAACGAATACTTGGCACAATAGCAATTTTGCACCTTCCCTTTTGTTGTGTGATTATTTGAATAAGATTATTCTCCCCAGGAGACTAAGAGGTCCCACGTTGTATTCACCACACCTAGAAGAGGAATTGACACAAAGCAGGAACTTAATCAATATTGGCCAAATGACTGAATGAATGAATAACCATTTAGTAATTCTTCCTCTATGCTTCCACTCTACTCTGCAAATTCCTATCTCATAGTACTTATCACATTTGACATGATTAACAGTTTTTCACTCAATCTCCCCAAATAGATTACAGCTCCTCTGGGCAAAGAATGTATTTGATTCACTTTTGCACTTCTAGCTAGACAATTGGCGTAGTGCCTACACATACATACACACATACACACACACAGAGATAACCATGTATATGCATATTATATATTATATATATTTTATGTATACATAATTATAAAATAAGAAAATCGGTATATATTTTACATATATATTTTAAAATTATTTAAAATAATTTATTTTACAAAATTATTATAAATATAAAATAAGAAATTGGGAAAAGGGCATCAGGCACTAGTTTTGTTTGAATCTCAGATGCAGGGATCTGAGTTGATCATCCTTAATTTATATATTCATTTTTCATTCCCATTTTACTTATTAGAACACCTGCTATGCCCTAGGCACTGATTTAGGCACTCAGGATACAGCAATAAATAAAACTAAATTTCTGCCCATTAAGATCATGCTATGCTATACTTTTACCAGTGGTCTGTGAAAGTTTCCTCTTCTGTTTCAGATTTTTATTCTTACTACTGTTTTCCCTTTTATTCCCTATTCCCAAGACCACTCTTCTCTCCTTATTAGTAACTACTCTCATGTACTTTCTATTCATCAAACATATCTTTTTTTTACATGTAACAATATCCAGAAAAACACATTGCATTTTGTGTGTATTTTAGATTTTTTAAATAAATGGTATTATGTTATAATGTCATTTTCTTCTTTACTTTTATTATTTGTTCATTTGACTAATTTTGAGATCTATCACATTTCTACATGTAAAATCTAGTGAATTTCTTTTAAGTATTCCATAGTATACCATCCTATGAATATAACAAGGTATCCATTTCTCTAGAAAAGGACACCTATGGTACTTCAACTTACCACATCCCAACATTGATGTAATAAGCATCCAAGTGCACGTCTCCATGTGCATCATCTTGAGACTTTCTCTCTGCCACATGCCCAAGAGCTGAACTGCCATGACATCAGGATTAGCATACTCAATTTCCATAAGATCTACAAGAAGCTCTCTGAAATGGCCACACCATTTTACACACCCATCAATAGTAGAAGAGGTCTCCCCTTGTCTTCACATTCTCCCCAGCATTTGTAAGTATCAGAATCTCCCACTTTTGCAAATTTGATTGTGGTAAGGTATATTTTGTTATTATTTTAATATATATTTTTCTGATAATTAGTGAGATGAGTATCCATATACACGTAAGTGGTTCTAAAACAGATTTCCATTTATATCCAAGTAGTCATGAGTATATTAACTGCTCTGTGACTCAGAGCAGTTTTGTTTGGATCCCAGGTGCATGAATCTTTTACCTCCTTTGTAAAGTAGGAATGACTAGTACTTCTCTTGTGATTAAATGATTTAAAAATCAGCTACCGAGAATAAAATCTGTGACAAGAAAATGTTAGCTGTCATTATCTTTTACTATATTTTTTACTTTTATTTTTCATTCAAATAGCCTCTTCTATAAATTGCCCGTTAATATCCTTCAACCACTTTTCTTCCATATTTCCTGTATATTCCTTTCTGGTTTCCATGAGCTTCTTGTATATTCTGTGTATCAATCTACTACAAATGCTTCTATCTGAATAAGTGAATGAGTGATCACAGATTAAACACTTCAGTTTTGTTTTACAAAACTCCCGACTGTTTGCTCTTTCTGCTCACTGCCTTGCTAGGTCATTTTTGTGAACATAATTTTGAATGTCAATGTATTTTTAATCTGACCAATACATTTTAAATAAAATTTAATTTATATTCCATTTTTCTATGTCCACAAGACAAATCTACAAGTGTGGGGGAAAAACAAGTCCTAGTTCCAAACTGGAAAAATTAAACAATTGTATTCATGGTTGTATTGGGTAATTTTTTTAAAAAAGAAGCAGAAACACATACTACTTTTTTAAAAAGTAAAAAAAAAAAAGTACAGAAGAGGTACAAATTCTGTCAAATTTTCTCAGAGACAAGTACTTTGTCTCAATTTAAAGGCATTATAATTCGATCTTTAAAATAGGCTGCCCAAACAGTATAATTTTCTGCAAGATTCCCAGAGGAACAATTTATCATTGTTAAAAGGCCATAGTTAATAGAATTCTTAGCAATCATTTATAAAACCACACAGAAAACCCTCAAAAACGTCATAATAGAGCATCGATAAACATTTGATAAGAATCAGTGTTCAAAGGAAATCTATGCAATGAACCCTAAACTTTATGAACATCTTTCTAGTAACTTATAACAACACAGAAATTGATAACAGTGGCACACAAACTGCCTAGCCCAGATCTATATAGGAAGCTTATAATTACTAGATTATATTTTAAACAGATATTCAAAAGTATTATTCAGTACAAAAGTAACTGTCTTCATCTTAAAAAAGTATATTTCATATAAAAATGGGGAAGTGGGTATCACAGCCAGGCACCACCATTTCCATATACCACTCAGATGGGTTTCTAATAAATGACGCTGTTGAATTTTTTTAAATGATGAGGTCAGGTGATCTATACAAGAATTCACACATTGACAGAGAAGGCATTCTGGTGATCAACGAATTGTTTCTATCTGCATCCATAATATTCTAAGTAGGTAAAACAGACACAATTAAGAAAATGCTGGCCAAATCTTTTTTTTTTTCTCTCCCAACAAATTCCAAAGCTGATATGCTGATTCACTCAGTCAATCATTCAATTTAAGCTTAACGAATATCTACTGGATTCTGGAATTTACAAAAGCAAGGAAAAATTGACAACAACCCTGTTATGACTAAGCAGAGGAGACAAACGTTCATTTAAAAATTGCACAAAGGTGAAATTACTCTGAAAGGCTCATGGTCAACATTATAAGAGTCTATACTAAAATAATCTGACCTAGTCAGGAAGATCAGAGAAAACTTCCCTGAGCCAACATCTGCAGAAGAAGAATGAGTTAAGCTGGTAAGCAAATGAGTCAGGAGAAGCATATGTGCAAAACTCTATGGTACAAAAGAGTGTATTGAGTCCACAGCAATAGCTAGGATGAAGAGAATAAAGAAGATGCAAGATAAACTTCAGAGAAAAGACGTGTCCAGAATGTGCCTAGCTATATGTCTATCTTAAGTGTTTGTTCTTTAAGTGCAATGGAAAGATATTGATGGGCTTTAGGAAAGAAGGTTCTAATTTAGAGCATGAATTGGAAAGACACTAAGAATGGAAACCAATTATAAAGATGTTGCCATAGTCCAATGGAGAGATAGTAGCAGCTTGGACCAGGTGGTAGTGATGGAGATAAAGAGAGGCTCAGGGACTCTAGAGATACTGAAGAGGCAAAATCAACAGGACAGGATAGGAAAGGAGAGATGCAACAAATGCCTCTTTCATAATTTCTCCATGAATCTTTCTAGGCATTGTACTGCTTTCTCTATTATGGCTGCCAGTTGAGTACATCTCTGTATGTTAAAAGGGAGCTGCTCTCTTGCAACTGCTTGGACACCCAGTCAGAATTTTCCATGGATCCATCAGAGAAATAGTTTCTGCACCATTTGTGATAAAGAACACTTTTAGTTCTGGATATTCTGTAATATAAACTTTCGTAACATGGCGGAACTAATTTTGCAGACCAATATATGACCCCATTTAACCCTGTGGGACATCCATTACTTTCATTGCTGTTAACCTCATTTGTTTCTTCAGCACACCTGATTATCACAAGCAGGAAAGATGCTTACTTCCCAGAGCTTCACTCTTATCTAAGAATTTATTGCAGTTTGTGAAGTATTTTGTCTGTAAAACCCGAAGAAGCTTAGAATTTTTTCTAACCCTTTTCTCCAGCTCTCCCGTGTGTTGAACAAGGTGTGTATGACAGAAACTCAAACACATTTAAAGATTTTTGCTACAATTTTTCCTTCAAGTTCACAGTCAATTGTATGCAATTGGCTAGTTCTACCTGGCTAGGTTTGGATTCTTTTACTATAGACACTCATAGTAACATTGACCATGAGCCTGTCTTTCAGAGTAATTTCACCTGTGAGATTTTTAAATGAATGTTTTTCTCCCTTGCTAAGCCAAACCGCTAGGGATGTTATGAGTTTTTGCCATGTCCTCCCTTAACTGGAGTATCAAATTATTTGTTAATATCCATTCACATATTATGAAAACACACCCAGTCTTAATCTTTAGAATATATCTGTACCCCTATTTTTTCTATCAAGCCTCATTTTCCATAAGCAATTCAGGAAGGGAGTTCAGTACCTAGAAGATCAAAAGCTAGACAAGTAGAACAAGCCATCCCAACCACCTTCTGGAATTAGGGGCCTATACATCAGCATAGGCAGTCACTGGTTTAAAACACTGACTTTGGTATCAATCTGTTACTCTGCCACTTACCAGTATATGTCCTTGGACAAGCTGTTTAACCTACCTGAGTCTCAGTTTCTTACAAAAAGAAGATTATAATATATTATGTTCTATATTACATTATGTAACTAATATATTGAGATATATAATACGTAGATGGCTTGCAACAGAGAGATGTGTGGGAGCTATCATCGCCATTACTGCTGTCATCCTGGTTATGTTTCCTACTTTGCTCCAGGCATGACCGTCCACCAAATGGGGAGGGATGTTTAAGAAGGAAAGGTTGTGCCAATCGTCTCTGTCTCCTGGCATGTTGAAAGGTACAAGATTGAATACATCATAAAGCAATTAATAATACATTTTAAAAACTCAGTAAGTTCAGCAAGAATATATGCAGAGACAGGATGGGAAAAAGTGATGCTAGCATATGTGTTTGTTGAGGAAAGTTGGTTAGAGGAAGGAGTAAATTGTAGTTTTAAAGAAAAAAGTATATGGAATATGGAAAATGGCACATAAAATGGTATCATTTTATCAATCGAAGAAAAGGAATGATATCACAGACTTGAATCCAGTATCTCTTTTATTTTATGAACTTTTAGATCTATGTAAGGACAAGCATATTCTGGTTTGTAATTAACAGCTATGCATGAGAAACGCATGATATCTGTTCCCAATTTACAGATGAGGCAACTAGGTCTCAAAGAAGTGACTCATTTATAGTTATATATTTAGGAAATAACAGGGCAAGACCTAATCAGATTTTCTCACTTCGAAGTCCATGCTCTTTTTACTGCACCAAAGTCAATCCCAAGGCCACATGTCTTGGTCTTCTTTGACAAGAATTGCAAATGCAATTAGTTACAGTCACAAATCATCATCCTCAACAAAAAACAGATGTTGTTAGGCCTCAGTGTAAAGTCAGTAGGGTCTACTGCTCTGAACACTGTAAGGATGTGTATTTGTCTATAAGCCACACCACCCCCCCGCCCAAAAAAAGGCAAAGGGACCTAAAAGCATGCCAACTAACTTTTAAAGGAATCCTTTTTACTAGAGATAAAACAGAAGGAAGAAAAATCAAACCATGTTCATACTCAAGGCATCAATAAAGTCCCAAAGGCATCAAATAAAGTCCCTCTGATAACAGCATTGCTGGTGATATTCCTTTCAAGATTGCCATGTAATGCTTAACATTTTCAGAAGCATAGAGAACATCTATTTGTCTAATAAAGGCAATAAAATAGTCAGGCAGTTTAGAAATGAAACCATGTATTTCTATGATGATTCAGAATATTTGTATGAGCAAATGAATTTCTGATATATATGGTTAATATTTCTAGGAATGCAAAGATATTCATAGGAAAAATGGCAGAAATGCATGCTTAGCTAAATTCAACTTTATGTATGAGAAATTACAACTACGGTATAAAATCCACAGTAGAAATGAAACAGGATTACATCACTTACAATTGCTAATATTAATGGACCAGAGGGAGACTACATTCCCTCAAGCTAGAAACATGTCAGAGGGGAAAGACATACAATTCAGCTTGAAAAAGCAAAATCCATTAACCATGAAATAGGGAAACAAAAAATCAAACTTACCATATACCATATCTTACTGGAAAAAAAATCTATTAGCAAAAAAAGAGCTCTACTAAACAAAATATTTCCAACTCAGAGAAAATGTAAAAACAAATGATTTCAAGTAAAGAAAAATTCCAGAAAATTCATATGGTTATTTTCATGGCCATCTATATCCATCAAAGTACCAACATATTTCTGGGTATGTAGGTCTCAAAAGAATGCCTATAGATTGGAGCACACTTAAATGCATTTTTTAATTTAAGAAAATAGTATATTAACTACCACAGATTTGATATGAAGCATTCCAAGCTTTTGTCTCTATTGTGAAATTACTCTATCTGGGAAAGAAGTCCTAGCTTCTCTAATAAGAAGAGTAGGGCAAACAGAGATTTAACACCCTCAGTATACTTACCTCAGTTAAGATTTATAACAGCTTCTAGAATAATCTTTTTAAAATATTTCACACCAGAAAAAAGGAAAGATGGCCTGAATCAATTAGAGAGTTGCTCAAATAGCAAGACTCCCAGATGTAAAAGATCAAGGCCACTGTCAGGGATCAAAGCGATTAACTGCCTCACCAGTGGTCCAGGGTGATGCAGAAGAGATGTGGTGTAGCATGCACTCACCGAGAATTAAACCAGTGCAAGAGGCTTTCTATTGCTTTAATGGGATTAAAGAAATAACATCCAAGATGACTGACAGAAACATATTTAAAAATTGCTAAGAGAGTAAATTGTAAGTGTTCTCATCACAAAAAAGTATGTGAGGTAATGCATATGTTAAGTAGCATAATTTAGCCATTCCACAATGTGTGTGTATATATATAAGTATATACATATATATATACATACATCATGTTGTATACCATAAATACTGTATATATAATTTTTGATTGTCAATTAAAATATTTTTTAAAAGTTGAGCATCTACTTCAAGTGCAAATCCTTACATAAACAATCAAGCCTGTGTGTGGGTAGCCTTTCTAAGCGGGCCCCCAGTGATGTCCCCCTGCCTACTGGTATTCACACCCTTCTGTAATCCTCTCCTTTTGAGTGTCACCTGAGCCTGGTAATATGCTTCTATTGAATAAAATATGACAAAAGTAACGGGAGGCCAATTCTAAGATTGAGTTAGACAAGACTGTGATTCCTCCCTTACGCTCTGTCTTGTTATTCTAGCCTGTTCACTCTCTTGAAGCCAGCTGTTGTGTTGTGAGTTTGAGTTTTGAGGGTAATTTGCCGTATGGAGAGGATCACATGGCAAAGGACTCAGGGCAGCCTCCAGCCAATGCCAGCAAGAAACTGAAGCCCTCAGCCCAACAACCCACGAGGAACTGAATTCTGTGAACAACCACATTAGTAACTTGGAAGTGGCCCCACCCCCAATGGTGAACCGAGATGACTGCAGCCCCTGCCAATACCTTGATTGCAGCCTCATGAGAAACACAGAGCCAGATAACCTAGCTAAACTGCATTCGGATTGCTAACCCACAGAAACTGTGAGATCATAAATGCTGCTTTCTAAGCCACTAAATTTTGAGGTAATTTGTTACACAGTAATGGATAATGTACAATTTGTAATGAAAACAGCCTCCTAATTAATACTCATCTATGAATAAATATATTGCTGATTTTAGAATGCAAAGATCCTTGTCTCTACCCAAAATCTGATTATTCAATTCCAGGACCACAGCATCTTTCATTTAGACTTGTCTTCTTGCTTCTCATTTGGTCTCCTCTGAATCCATCTCTTATGGGTATGAGTCCCTCAAAAACCTAAACATTGAAGTCCTAGTCCCCAGAATGTGAATTTATTTAGAAATATGCCACATTTGGAAATAAAGTCATTGCAGATGTAATTAATTAAGATGAGGTCATATTGGAGTAGGCTGGGCCCCTAATCCAGTATCACTGGCATCCTTAAAAAGCAGACAATTTGGATACAGACACACACATACACACAGAGAACACCATGTGAAACTGAAGTTATCCTGCCTTACACCAAGGAACTACCAGAAGCTAAGAGGGAAGCCTGAGGCGGATCCTTCCTTAGAGTCTTCAGGAGATGCATTACCTTGCTGACACCTTAACCTAGGATTTCTAGCCACCAAAACTGTGGGACAATGAATTTCTGTTGTTTAAGACACTCAGTTTGTGGTATTTTGTTAGAGCAGCTCCAGCAAGCTCAAGTCACCTTCTACACAGCTTGCCAAGAAAGATCTATTTGAAATATGAATCTCACCATGGCATTACACCTATTCACTCATTCAGCAAACGAGAGCCTCTTTGATGCCAGGCTCTAAGGTTGGCACTCGGCATTAGTAACAAAAAAATCCAGCTGCAGCACATGCTAGCACAGTAGTACATAGGGTGCCTTTGTGCTTGAGAAAACAGAGCCATTCCCAGGCAGACAAATTGGGAAATGGCACCCCCTTGTGGAAGATGACTTAACATAAAGATGCTCCTCGGGAACAGTTAACACAAAAGCACACCACATGGGCAGACAGACCCAACAGCTCTATGTTGGCAAAGTTGGTAAGAGTGTGCCCGCTGGATTTTAGCATGCATTTCCACCATCTTGGCTGGATGCTTTTGTGAGGGACAGCTTGCATGCCCATTAATGACGGACCTGAGTAAAGGTCTCTACCCTCTCTGCTCTCACAGATCTTTCAGAACTTAAATTCCTTCAAGATTCATCAACTCTTTGTCGAGGATCCCCAAGAACTCAGAATCCTGTGCTCCAATAGCCCAAACGGTAGTTTGCTGGAGCCAGCTTCCACAACAGGCCTCAACGTCCACAGAAGGCCCCAAAATAGCAGTGGAGAATGATAGAATCTTCCAGAGGTATCCAGAAATACACCACCCTGAGCATGAAATTTATGTTCTGTGTCACTACCTTTGAAAAGCAAATGCAAATTTTTCATATCATTCCATGATACATTCTTTATCTTAATAGAAAAATAGTGGATTTTCCTCTCAAATTCCTGAGTAAAACTGATGTCATATCAAAATGCATTCTACTTTCAGATTCACCCAACCAAGGAACATCTGACACTGCTTGAGAAGCATAGAAGGCAAACTAAAAGGCACTCTGTGATCTGGCTCCAGAACCGTCCTTTTCTGTGAGGAAACAGGGTCCCCACCTGGCCCTGGGCTTTGAAGAATCTCTCTTTACCTCTTCAGCTGTCTGTCTCCCCAAGGGATAAAGTATCCAAGGGGTATGCCCACCGGGAGCCCACACATTCCTCCACCCCATTAAACAATGCTCTGTACACCCAAGAACACAAATCCCATGACCAAACAGCTCAGACAATGGTGTTCTGGAGGCACTCCTACTGGTTCACAAAAGTCCATTGTTATATTTTCAGAAATTTTGAAAGCTGGATGTTAGACATGACCATTATTAAAAATAAATTACATGAACTTAAATCAGTTATATTGAAAACAAAGGTAATTAGCATTTAAAACTCATCAGTTTCTAACTATTTTACTATTATTTATGTACTTGTTATTTATGCCTGTTGCATCTGTATGGTGGCAATACTAGACAATGGTGTGCGACTATGCATCTCTTCCCAGCTCTGCATTCAATGACATCATGTTAGTAACTGGAAATTGGCTTTAGTGTGAGTATATACACCATATAAATCAGCAAATACTGTAAGTCAGGGCTGGATTTATTTTTTCTTCATTGTCTAGGCAGAAGAAAGTGATGGAGAAAATATTAATAAAACCAATTAATCTTTAAAATGTGTCATGTCTGTAGCTTTTACATGTATGTATTAATACAAAAAATGAGAAAACATTCCTCCAGTATTTAAAAACTATTACACAATTTAGCGTAATAGTTGCACTCCTCATTAATTAACAAGCGAAGTTCTATTTGCTTGTTTCACTTTCACTTGCTCATCAACATAAATAAACATATCAACCACTGTGCCATATGTCAACCACGTAGGAATTATAATCAGAGAGCTAGTTGTTAAACATACCAGCACACAGTAGGCCCAGAGTCCATTTCCAAGGCCAACATGAACCTCTTTTTTTAATCCTTCCTCTCAAGTGTGGACCATGCTACCTGTAGTGTGTGCCCCTAGGGGACAGATGTGCAGCCAGGGGTGTTCATCCATAAGAAGAGTGTTCCTCATGATGCTTGACCAGGCAGGAGCAGGAAGACAAGAGGGTTGGCAGCAGGTCAAAGCTCAGGGGTGGAGGCTTGGGAGTGGCCTCCACTTCTGCATGTATTAGGGGCAATCCAGGACCCATACCACTCTCTCTAATTGTATTTTCTTTTGCACACCAACAGCACACCAGACTATTGGAATTCTCTGCACAATTGTTCTTGCCAAACCCTTGCTCATGTAGCCCACTTGCATCATCCTATCACTGGAACCCAAACCAGGACATGGCACACGGTAGGACTCAGCAGTTTAAAATAATGAATAAATTAATTTTATGGATTCCAATCTTGGTCCATTATCTATTAGCTATGTGGCATTAGGCAACACATTTAAGGCCCTCAGGCTTTAACTTCCTCAGCAGCAAATGAGGATTAATAAACCTTTTTTGTAAAAATTAAAAGATATGTGATAATTATAGCAGCAACCTTTATTAAGCACGTACTTGCTAGGCATTGTGCTTGATGCTTTATACAGATTATCTCATTTTAATCCTTGTACACTTTACCTCTATGAGAGAAATATTACAATAATTATGCCCATTTCAGAAATGTGGAAACTGAGGCTTTACAAGTTTATTTCTGTATCATAAGACTCAAATAACAGTTCTTCATCTACTCCTACAAAAGCCATAATATATTTTGGGTCAGTATTTAACTTTCTATAAATTCCAATACAGTGATTATTGAAATATTAATAAAGATGTAGCTCATCTTTAATCTGGCTGTATGTTCATGAAATCTTGTCCTGAAAAGCAAATGAGTCCAGTGAAAAATAATATATATATATAAGAAATGTAATAAATATAGATAAAGGAGATTAAATATAACTACCATAAAACTGGTTTAGACAGACAAGAATAACAATAGCAAGGTAAGTTTTCAGTGAACAATGTGATAGAAATGATATATTTCAGGACACCAACCAGCAAGAGGTTCCCCAGCCCTGAGAAGGGATCTCTCACTGTAGAACCAATGAAGTAGAAGTTCATTTTAGGAAGTTCAACCCTTCCTTTATATCTTTTAAGTTTCACATTACTCTATCTACAGTCAATTCTTTTTTTCACTTCAAAAATCATATAAGAAAGTATATCCATTGAGAAGAATACTCATCATCAGTTATGAATGATTTAAAACAAATAACACTGAAAACATAAACAATTGGCATAATAAACAGGAGAGAACACATAAAATTGAACTTAAAGTGACACTTAATAGGTTGACATTTACACCTGGCTTAGGACAAGAAAATGTGGAGTGTTATGGACTATAGTAAGAATCATGCAAATCTTAATGATATTTAACTTTGCAACTCAACACAGTTGACCCTTGAACAGGTGTTTGAACTATACAAGTCCATTCATAGGCATATTTTTTTCAATCAAATGTGAATTGAAAATATAGCATTCACAGGATGCAAAATTTGCATATATAAACGGCCGACTGTTTTGTATATTCAGATAGCACAGGTCAACTGCGAGGACTTGAGTATGTGTGGAGTTGAGTATGCACAGGGGCGGGGTGGGGGGTGTTCCCTGGCACCAATACCCAATATCCCACATATCCTGAGGGACAATTGTACTCATATTGAGAAGTGACTTTCTCTGTTTTCTTCTTTGGGTGATTCAAGTCGACATCATCAATATATGCTATCTATAAAGCAGCGTGATTAAGACCATAGGCTGAAGTCTGACTGCCTGGCTTAGAATCCTGGTTCTGAAAGTTAGTTATGTAGCCTTGTGCAAGTTATATAACCTCTTCATTCCTCAGTTTGCTTAGTTACACGATGGAGGTAGTAACAGGACCCACCTCATAGGACGTTAGAATTATTACATGTGTAAAGCACGCACAACAGTGCCTGCCACATAATAAATGCTGTACACTGGCTATTAATTATTAGCGTTATCATGAAAACTAAATAATATCTCAAAGCTTAGTTGCTACAATGGCTGAGTTCCAAAAAGATGAAAGGGAAAAAAAATGCTCCATCCAAGGTTCCTGTCTATAAAACTATATTACACAACATTATAGTGAAGAAAGAAAATCAATGAATGTGTTCTAATTCCTATATGTACAACTTCATCTTCCTCTAATATTAAGACAATAAAAATAGCTCTTCCTCAAAGATACTAGTTAAATCTACTTATAAAATATATAAATTATACTCCAATGTTTTTCTCTTTATTCATTGCTTACCTCACTAGTTAATGAAAATAAAAAAGATTAATTCACCCAATTCCACATCTCAATCGCCTATACTAACCATATTCTCTTCATTATTTCTTTCTTTAGGAAACAGGAAGAGTATATTCAAAAAGACTATTTAGGGAGAGATATGTCTCAAATTTTTAGCAAATACCAGGAATCTCCCTCTTCTTGAAAACCCATTCTGTTTTCTAAGAGTTCAAGATACTGAAAATTAGTTTGGAGTACACATTTAAAAAGAAATGATTAGACGAGAACTAAAACAAATTCTTAGTATGGCAGATTTAACTTATTTTCACTTAAACCACATTGCTCAAGTATTTGCCAATCTAGCAAAAAGGTTATAACCATGATTTTCTTTAAAGTAGGTTATTGTGTAATGATAAAAATGAGTGAATAGAATCAAAATATAACAGTAAAACACAATTTGAAAGAGAAGTAACAAATATGGGCAATTCTTTCTCTAATTGAGCTCCAATTTTGTTTCAAATCACTCCACAGAAATTTGGGAGTTTTTAAAGTCTTTTTTTTTTACTCATATTTGTATCCTGAGCAATGATTTTGAATTGTGTATTTCAATCCTTCCTAATACTGACTTATTTCCTGCTGTTTTGTGGCTTGTCATTTCTGTAGACTAGTTCTTCCAAAATCATTTTCAAACATTCCTTCTGAATATTCTTGTAACTTAACAGCTCAGGATTTTGAAGAAGTTACTTTTAGAAGACTTTTAGAACTGTCTTTATAAACACCAGATTCATCTTCGACAAATACATTTGTCCGCAGATACATGTTTTAATTTCTGTTGATTCTACTTCCCAAATATCTTTCAAATACTGCCCTTTGACTCTGTCGTTGCTATTGCTAAGCTCTACCCATCACCACTTCTCATCTACATTAATGCACTAATTTTAGAACTCTCTCTGCTTCTAATCTTAACTCCTTTCAATTCATCCAATTTTCAAGTTTTCAAAAAAATTTCCAAAGCAAACATCTGATAACAACACTATCTGCTTAAAAACCATCAATGCACTCTTTCATCTATGGAATAACAATGAATCCTTTAATTTGAATAATATGATATGCCAGTTAGAAAATTATTTGCAAATAACAGAAACAAAATCAGACTTAAGAAGAAATATGGGGTGATTCACAAAACTGAAGCTGGAAACCATCATTCTCAGCAAACTATCACAAGGACAGAAAACCAACCACCACATGTTCTCACTCCTAGGTGGGAATTGAACAATGAGATCACTTGGACACAGGGCGGGGAACATCAGGGGGTTGGGGGCTGGGGGACGGATAGCATTAGGAGAAATACCTAATGTAAATGATGAGCTGATGGGTGCAGCAAACCAACATGGCACGTGTATACCTATGTATCAGATCTGCACATTTTGCACATGTACCCTAGAACTTAGAGTATAATTAAAAAAAAAAAAACTGAAGGAAAGCCTGATAGAATAGAATGAGAAAAAAGAGGTTCCAAGTTTTAGAAACACATGGATGGTCCTTTAGGAACACCCTCCATGTCAGCTGTGGGTCACTCAGCTCATATACCATAAACAAATGGAAGAAATGGGCAAATACCATGGCTTAGCTGGGTTAAAGTCACTGCCCACTCCCGTATCTAACAAGATTGTACCCAGTGGGAGGTGATAGCTTCTGTGGCAGAGACTGCTAATTATTCACAATATTCTGTCTTTTCATCCTATTTTTAACTTCATATGTAGTCCTTTATAATAAAGCTTACAATTTTACCATTCTACACCGTGTGACCATGTTCTGGCCAATGGAACATATGAGGGGGCTACTGTGTACAACTCTGGGAAGTATCCTTAAAGATGAGGGCAAGCCTTTTTCTCCCTTTCCTCTTTCCTGCTGCTTGGAATGCAGGAGTAGATGGGTCTAGCACCCATCTTGGACATCAAGTGGCTTTGAGACTGTAAGCCACCCACGGCAGGACAACAGCATAGAGTGAAGTTGAGTCCCTAACACCATGAAGCACTACAGCAGCATCAGACTGACTACCTCTATACTCCTTTTATGTAAGAGAGAAGTAGGCACATTTCTAGTATAAGCCACTGTTATTTGTGGGGTTTCCATTATATGCAGCTAAATCTAATCTGAACTAAAACAGTTCCTCATAGCAAACTCAATGTGGTAATACTGGAAAAAAGTGAAATGTGTGCTAGACAGAAATAAAGCAATAGATGCTTACTGCACACAGCCATTCACTTTATGCAGAGTTCATTGCTACTTAGGGTTGCCCAAATATATCAAGCCTTATAACAAAAAACATCTGGGTAGTTGGATTGTGTTTATCTGCTTCATCTGAACAGCTAACTTCTACACACACCAAGTAACAGATCATCAATCATGACTTCTCTATCATTTTCTGAGTTCCCATACTCCCAGGTGAGTTATGCAACAGGGAGAGTTGCATACAGAAAGTTTGTTGGGATATACTCTTACAAGACATACCCATAAGGAAGTGGGGAAGGTAGGACTGGGCAGAGGCAGAAGCTGACCTGCAATGCAGTTGCAACTGAAGCCTCGGCCAATCCTAAGGGAAGATGTGTGGCTATGAAGTTTCTTCAGTGTTGTCACAAATCGAGGTAAGAAGGCATACCTGTCTATCTTTACATCAGACAGTCATTTATTTTGCCCTTACCCCTTCTCTCCCAGGGAGATAAACCTTGGCTGAATAAGGTCCCTGTGGCCAAGGGCAATTTCCAGTGGAGAACTCAACTATGATCCTTTAGTAGCAGGCATTCTCAATGGGTGGGGGATAGGTGAGCACCAGAGTATCCACCATAGTCAAGGGCTGTGTCTCATTCATTTCTAAATGTGCAATGCCTAACATAATAAAACCATGATTTGATTTTGTTTTGAATGAACACATTGATGGATAATCAAACCAATAAATAATTATGTCTGTTTTCAGGCAGAAGGAATAAAATCAATAAAGGAGAAATAGAAGATGCTCATTGGAAACATAACTATGAGAGCAAAATCCTGCTAGATAAAGGAAAATAGAATTGGAGTACCCTATCAGCTCTATGCTGACGTTCCTTAGAGATGAGGCAAATGAGACCCCCAAAAAACGTAAACGGTCTTATTAAGGTACACTTTCAGTGTGAAATGGCATAACCAGTAGGTGTAAGGGTTAAGGCATAGGTATAGAAAGATAGTCTTGAAGATAAGAAATAATACTTCATTCGTTGAGATAACAGTGGATGAAGATAGTAATACTAGTCAATATTATTGGAAAGGTAAAGGAGGAATATGAAAGTAAAAGTTTCAATATTTTCAGTAAAATATAAGGTAAACATAATTAGTAGAAATTAAACTGTGTAAGAGCTTCAGGACAGTGAAAATTTACCAAAAAGGAAAAAATTATGGGAGTATCCTAAGAAATCAAGAGATGTGAAGAAGGTGGACTTTTACATAGGGATTGCTCCACCGTGCTGGAAATTCAGTTAAAGTGAGATGGCAATTATCTGTCATACAACAAATCACAATATTCAACACATCAAAGAAAAAGGTTATTTCTAGAATTTTTACTTAAGAAATATTCTTCTACTGAAAATACAGATAAACTGAATTGGTTTACTTTAATATGATCCTTTCCTCCTATGTAAGGCCAATTTCAAAAGAGAAAGCGTTTAAAGGCTTTTTCTTCTTTAAAGAACTCAAACCATGTTGATTACGATATCTTGAAATTCTTGGAGAAATCATATACTAAGAGTCTCCTTTTGTTAGTACCTCTCTATAAAGACATGTTGTAGGTTCACAAAATTTATCTAGAATATGTCTTCCCCGTGGACTTAAGTTACATCACCATAAGCAGCAGTAGCAACAGCATCTTCATCATCATCTGCGACCTGATATGTTTATGGCACATCATTGTTTGCACAGGGCTTTACATACATCAACCACTGAGTCCTCTTTATAGCCTTGTGAAGTAGAAGAAACTTATCCTCAGTACAAACAAGTGACGTGGGCAAAGTCATATAATGAGTGGATGTCAGATAAAAAGCTAGAACCTACACTCTAACTCCTTTTGGCAAAGTACTTCTGTCCCCTGTATACCACACACTGATTCTCAAATACGTTCTTTTCTCTGCCATCAATGATCCCACGTTCTGAAGGTCAATTTAGCTATTTCTTCATCTTTCTTTAATTATTTAAAAATTACCAAGTGCTACAAGTAGAAAATACCAATTAAGATCACATTCTGTTTACACGATCAACCCTAACCGTGACATAACAACTGCCAAGCAGAAAAACAATCATCACTACCGTCCTTAGTTAGAAAACAACAGGATTTTTGCCTAAGGCAGGATGGTAGAATAGATTCTCACATTGGCAATAAAAAGCTTCAGAGGAAAAGCTTGGCATCAATCTAATAAATAAGTATAGCCAAGAAAAAGAAAAAGCATTTCTTTCCAACATTCTGTGTGAAAACATAAGCAGGCACAGCGACACTTGTACAAAAAGTCATCTGAAACATATTTTCGAGTTCCAGTTAGCAGAAAATTCCTGCAGATTCGAAATTTTCTATAAGTTGCTTTTTTTTCCGAGTTCTGCTTGAAGATTTCCTTGATTTTGCCGATAGATTTTTCACAGATCTGAACTTCTTACCTAAAAGTGTTGCTAGTACTACGTGTAACCACAGCCAATTACGTGCAATGGGAAAACAGTGTATTTTTCTGCTACATTTAAATGTTTTCAGAGGGCTGACAATAAAAATAAAAATAATAATAATAGCAGTGCAAATTTCAGAGATGCATATTAGGAACAGCAGGTAAAGGCAGGGAGGCAGCAGTGAATCTAGACCAGCAAAAGACATAAGCAGGAACTCGTCTGACTCAAGCAGTTTGGGAATAATGCAGATAAATCACAGAGCACGCAAAGGGGAATAGAATGCATTTCAGACTTGGCTCAGAGGAAAAGACATACGAGACACACTCAGGGAAACTAAATTTATACCGTCTAGAGAATGAACTTCAAGGAGGGAACCTGATCATAATCTATAAATACCACCAAGGTAACACCACAAATAATTAAGGGGAGAAACTACTCGCTGTCTCTGAAGAAGGTCTAAAAATGAAGTTTTAGATTTACTTCTCCCTTTGTTTCTTCCTGGCATCACAGCACGTGTGTATTGAGAGTTGTTTGCTCCTGCCTGGGATATACTGGGGCAAAGCACCAGAAGGGTGAGTGCCTGAAGCTCCTCTGCCCCTGCATGAGGAGCATGACTATCTCCCTTTCCTTTCAGCCATGCAGCTCATCCCAGCCTGAAAAGAACAACTACAGGAGCAGAAGGAAAAGACCTCTGTCAGCTGACACTCCTGAGACTTGTCTCTGCCACTTCAGGAAGCTGGAGCAACCGGACCTTTCTAAAACTCAAGCAGCGAAGTGGGCTTCGTGTATGTTACTGTCATTCACTGTTGCATCTAATTGCTCCAAAGAGTACTAATCATGTGCTAGGATGGGGCTTCTCAATTAAAATGCATACAAATCACCTGGCAATTTCCTTAAAATACAGATTCTGATTTAGTAAGTCTGGAGTGAAACCTGAGATTCTGCATTTCTAACATGCTCACAGATGATGTCAATGCTGGCAGTCTGCAGACCACTTTGAGTAGTGCTATGGTTTGAATGTGTCCCCCAAAGTTCATGCAGCAGTTTTGGGAGGTGGGGCCTAATAAGTGGTCACTAGGTTATGAGCGCTCTGCCCAAATGAATGGATTAATGTTGTTAATGCAACAGTGAGTTAGTTACCATGAAAGTGGGCTTGTTACAAGAGTGAGTTTGGCCTCCTCCTGCTCTCTTGCTCTTGCACATCTCCTGGCCTTCCACTTTCTGCCATGGGATGACACAGCACAAAGGCCCTCACCAGATACTGGGCATCATGCTTTTGGACTTTTCAGCCTCCGGAATCATGAGCCAAATACGCTTCTACTGTTTGTAAATTATCCAGTCTCAGGCATTCCATTACAGCAACAAAAAATGAACTAATACAAGTACCAAGGCTCTAGGACCTGTTTCTTGGGGAAGACAGACACAGAAAGGGATAACTAAATGCAACATGTTGACATGCCATAGGCAGCTAACCCATCCTGAAAGGCACAGAGAAAGCAAATTTCATGGAGAGGACAATCCTTGAGCTGATTAAATATAAGGAAAAAGCACAGAGGAAATTCTCATGATATTTTCATTCATAGATAATATGAATAACTTTTGGGATTAGGAGAGATTGTATTAGCTGCTGATTTCCTTTTGTGGGTCTAAGATTTTACAACGGTTTAACATAAAACAGTGTGCAGCACAGGTTTTGGAGTCAAATAACCTCTCTGAACTTCAATTTCCTAGTGGCAAAACAGGTATAATAAAACCTGGCTCTGAAGTTTTAGAATAGATAATAAATGGTAAGTTCTCAACAAATGTTAAAATTCTTTTCTCCTTATATTGGCACCTAAAGAAAACTGCATCTCCAGCCTCACCATAAATGCTCTATCCCACATCCTACATATGTACTTCCATTCCTAACTACTTAAATGTGCTTATGTCTAACAAAAATCATCTTAAATTTACAACTTTTACTTTTTTTAATGTGTTAAATGTATTATCCAACTTGCTCACTAGCATTTCTAAAATAATTGTTCATGAACCTCATGTTCTTTAACAGAAATACAGATGTGGCAATTGTACACCCTGGGTTTTTTAAGGCAGCTCTGAATTCAAATATCTTGCCCACTTATCAAACAATTGTCTCCAATTTTGGGCTTCCAAATATGATCACCAGAGATATAAATCAACATTCTGAATTGTTGCCACAATTTCTGGGAAATATTTTACTCAATGTTTCATTCAATCAGTTCAAGTGCTATTTAAAAATTCCTAAATGCAAGGCTCTACAAGGCAAGCCTACATGATTATGACACCGTCTGTGCCCTCAGTTTGCTCATATTACAGTGCTCATGGAGAGCACTTACTTAATGAATGATTGTGTGTGTGCAGAGAGGTAGTTGGCAGGAGGTGGGGGAAGATCTGCATGATATATGCCTACCTAAGTACAGTTTGGTGTTTGGTGCCAAATGTCTCGTTTTGGTTCCTGTCTACTTTATCTTTCTGGCCCACCACAGAAAAGACTGAAATAAAAGATGACTAAATGCCAAATTAATTTCTAGTATCATACATGGGTGTCCACTGTTCATTTGTATTTAATGTCTGCAGTTCAAGGAATGGTCTTCCTAAAATAGATATAAAGCCTTTGCAGTAATAATGGGGTGTACTCCCTGAAATCTCTTGTTAGAATCTAGAATTTACCCCCAAGAGCACATAAAGGAAATTCTCTGTGATTGGCAAGCTGTAGTGAATTTTTATAATTTTATGTTGCCTCAGCATCCATTTTGAGTATAAGTTTAACTCTCTCATGTCAGAAGCAGGGCATAGTCACCCTTGACACAGTTTCCAGTTCTACACCACACCCAAATGGATTAGGCTGTGGCCAGAGGTAAGAACTTAGAGGCATCTCTCCTGCCTACCCTCTCTGCTTTCCTGCTGCTTCCTTTAAAGGGATCATTCTGGCATTTGCCTGCGAACTTAAAAGTGACGAAGATCCTATTCCTTTTATATCCACTGTTAGTTGCCATGCTCTCTTCCGTCCCCCTGCCTGACTCTTTTCATTCCTGCCTGGCGTGACCCGGGGATGAAGGACTGCCCTCAATCATTGCACCCTCCTCGCTCAGGATCTGTAAGTAATAAATCTTTGAACTTATTTCCTATTGTGGTGGTGTATTGAATTTGTGCCTTCCATCTGATGAACTTCGGCCTACTAAGGCTGGGTTTTCCCTGGGAGGCCAGAGTGAACACAAGGTCAGGCTCCCAGTTCTAGAGCTATGGTCAGGCATGCATAAACTGGATATGGATCAGACAAGAGCTACAAGGGCATTTGCCAGGCGAAACAAGTTTCCTAGCTGAGGGACCCCCTGGTTGCAGATCAGACAGCTGGGCATCAGGCCGTCTGCCAGGTAAAAGAAATTTCCTGTAAAAAGTACACTATAAACACCCATATCCGGCTCCCCTTCATTTCTTATTAGGGCAGGGTTGCTAGCCACTCTGGTGCTAGAACCCCAATTTAGTTGTGGACTCTTAAAATGCAAGCTCCTAAGGAATGCGCACTCACAACAAACTAGAGTTTGAGTAGGAGCTGATTTGGAAAATACACTGTTCTTATATCTGTTCTATCATGAAGAATCGGATTGAACCCTGTAGCTACTCTTTAAATCATTTTTACTGAAGAAAAATTCTGGCAAGAAAGGAAAGATCTACAAATGAGCAAAATGTCGACTATGGCAATTATGATGATGAATGATTTGCTGAACAATATATTACACAGAAATTTTTACTCTCCATGAGCACTGTAATGTGATTATTTTATGCCATGCCCCTTGAAATGCAATTATAATGGTAGAAGCCACTGCTGCTCTTCTCTCTCCACTTTCAAAGAATTAAAAGAAGAGAGAGTAATTAGGAAAGCCATTCAGAAGACTCTCAATAAACCTAAAATTATACCCATTCCACTAGCTATAGAAAATCAAACGGTTGACTTTAATCCCTAAATAACTGGACCATAAAACATCACTTCTCTCCATCCACTGTCACTTAAATTTGAATTATTCAGCATAATAATGCTTTTTTAAAAAACTATGTTTCTTGAATAATAGGATTTCCAACAGGAAGTCTATGTACTCCTAACAGAAAAATATTAAGAGATGACCAAGGTTCAAAATAACACTTTACCTCAATCCCAAATTCAAAGCACTCGCTCAATCTGATGGTGTTAAGATATTTTTGTCCCCATTTCCATCTTTAGAAGTGTATTCATGCCACATGGGCAAGAGGATTAGACAAGATTTACTAAGGACATATGTATGCATTCTTGTCTATACACTTAATCATTGAGGTTTGTGAATTTCTATCTCCTGGGTTCCTATCGCCCATGTCTATCCACTTGTAGTGCATAGAACAAGAAATCTTCAGTAGTACGGAGCTCTGATTTTAACCTCATTACTGTCACAAATTTTTCACAATATCTCCCCAAAACACCTTTTCTAAAATTAGGTCTCAATTCTCTTCGCCCGGATTACTACTCTCTCCTATTCCAAATTTCTAATTGTTAACATTTTCCAATTCAGACAACCTTCAAATCTACTAAAATATATTTCCTTATTGTTTTTATCCTTGCATTGACTCTTATAGTAGGACATCAATACATATTGGTAAATGTTCAAGACAATCTATATTTTCTGATTTAATCTGTATTAGTTTCTCCATCATTTAACCAATCTGTCAGTCTTCACTGGGTACCACCAAAGTTCTTTGCCCTGAGTTAGAAGCTGAAGAAGAGATAGAAAGGTAATGAGTGCACTCCCCATTACTGGGGGCATTAAATCAAGGACCTGACAACCATTAGTCAAGGATTTTATTTCCTTCGCATCCTCATAAATTCCTAATTTTACTTTGCTCATTCTAGGAAATGTATTCATCTCCTAAGTCAGACTATCCTTCAAAGGTGGTGATAATTTCAGTAAACTTGAGAAGAAGGCAAATTGCTAAAAGCTGAATGGTCTAGTGCTTCTCAAACATTAAGGTCCAAATGAATTGCCTCAGAATATCGTTTAAATGTGGATTCTGATTCAGCAGGTCTAGGCTGCACCAGAGATTCTGCATTTCTAACAAACTCCGAGATGATGCCCAATACTGATGCTGCTGATCACTGAATAGCAAGGGGCTCCATTGTAAGGTCTCTGAGAGCAGTGTCTCTGTCCTTAACTCACTCTAGTGCCTAGCCCAGTAGACTCAGTACCTAGTATGTAGAAAATATTCAATAAATATTTTTGAAATAAATAATTAGTTGTGGAAGAGACATTATTAAAGAAGTGATATGGTTTGGATGTTAGTTCCCTCTAAATCTCATGCTGAAATGTGATTGCCAATGTTGGAGGCTGGGCCTGGTGGGAGGTGATTGGATCATGGGGGCGGATCTCTCACGAATGGTTTAGCACCATCCCCTGGGTGATAAGTGGGTTCTCACTCAAGATTTGGTTGTTTAAAAGAGTTTGGGGCCGAGCGCAGTGGCTCATGCCTATAATCCCAGCACTCTGGGAGGCCCAGGTGGGTGGATCATGAGGTCAGGAGATCAAGACCATCCTGCCTAACACGGTGAAACCCCGTCTCTACTAAAAAATACAAAAAATTAGCCAGGCATGGTGGCGGGTGCCTGTAGTCCCAGCTACTTGGGAGGCTGAGGCTGGAGAATGGCGTGAACCCGGGAGGTGGAGCTTGCAGTGAGCCGAGATCGTGGCACTGCACTCCAGCCTGGATGACAGAGCGAGACTCCATCTCAAAAAAAAAAGAGTTTGGGAGCTCCCCCTTGGCTCTCTTGCCCCAGCTCTCACCATGGGATACACTGGCTGCCCTCTGCCCTTCACCTTCTGCTATGATTGTAAGCTCCCTGAGGCCCTCATCAGAAGCAGGTGCCAATACCATGCTTCTTGTAAAGCCTACAGAACAGTGAGCCAATAAAACTTATTTTCTTTATAAATTACCCAGCCTCTGGTATGTCTTTATAGCAACTCAAGAATAGCTTGGCACAAGAAGTAAAGAATATAGACAAGGAGTGCACTCACCTTAATTCAACTTTCCTTTATGTAGAGTTGGTCAAATCATTTCTAAACCCAGCTTCTCATTCTAGTCATTCAAACTGATCCATATGTAATTCAACATGCCTATCTTCCCACCTCTTGCCACACAACTTCCTCTAGGTTGGGCCATTTTTCTCACTGCATGTATACAAAGGCACACACATCTCGTAGAGTGCCCCACAACTCATTCCTTTTCCCTCATAAACCTGGGTCCACCCACCTTTTCAGCTCAAGTCCTACCTCTTCCATGAAGTCTCGCCCAGCTTGCTCAGCCATACCTGATGCCACCCTTCCCAGGAGGTCTGTATCTCAGTTATTTTTAGGTACTGGAAGTAGAGCAAAGTGACAAGTGAGCAGCTCCATAGCAGAAATAATTAGTTCATTCGGTAGCATAGTAATGAAATGTCTTTCTGTCAAGATACAATTAACTGAGAGAGTTAACTTTCTTGTTGCTAAGTAAGTAAAGAGAATTAATGATCTTCAGTAGCTTTTTCCATTATTTTCTTGGAAAACAGGGGCAGGTCAAAAATATGACTCAAGCTATATGAAAAGACAAGACACCGGTAAGTGCTATGGGATAGTGGTTAGCACATGGTTTTGGAAATCAACACTTACATTCAAATCCCGGCTCCATTACTTGTTCTATCTATGTCTTTGGGTAAGTCTTTTGACTTGTGGGAGCCCAAAGCTCTACACTTAAAGAGAGTAAATGATACACCCAATAAAGTTTTGTAAAGATTAAATGAGATAACAGATGTGAATTGCTTAGCAAATTGCCTGGCATACAGCAGGTGTTTGCTATTGTTACTATTACCACAGAGGGTTTCATGTCGGCAGTGGTTTTCAAAATGTGGTTCTCGGAGCAACAGCTAGCAACATCACCTGGAAACTTGTTAGAAATGCATATTCTCACGCTCCACCCCAGACCTCTTGAATTAGAATCCTGGCAATGGGACCCAGATACCTGTGTTGCAACAAGTCTTCCTGGTGAATCTAAGGCATGCTAAAGTTTGAGAAGCGCTGTTCTAAAGATTAAGGAAACTGTAGGTGTAAACCACCCAAGCTTAGTGTCAGGCACAGGAGGGACTACCCACTAAATGTCTCCTATTATTTTTAATAGGATATTATTTTCGCTCTGAAAGTACTTTATTTTCCTACTTCCCAGCACTAAACTGTCCTGCCCTGTGTATGAAACTACCCAGTTACTTCAAATTACAGAGCTGCCTAACTGCCAGCCTTTGAGAGTGCTCCAAGCTGCTGCTCACAAACTATTTAATTGCTTATCCAATTGCCTACGTACACCAGTGGGTCTAATTACCAGCCGCTGACCCCTGGCTGCAGAAGCATGACCACAGGCTCTCCCATCGCCGTGAGAGTAGCTTTCCAGGCAGAGCGCTGCTCGCTCGGCTCCAGTTCTGACACTTCCGCTCCCTCACGTAACATCCCTGTGGCCACATGAACCAACTATGTGCATGATTCTGAATTGCTTTGGCTTTTTTGAGCTATGGTTTTGGTTTTTTTTTTTTTACTTTTCTTTGCCTTTATTTTTTAAGAATTGGGAGGTGGGGGGTAGGGAGGTGGGGAGAGTTGCTTTTGTTTCCTTAACAGCAGAACAGTAAAACTTTTCCATAAAAACTGTGTATTGCTCAAGGCCAGGCCGTTAAGCAGCTGGGGCATTTTGGGCACTGCCTGTTACCGATTTTATTTCCTTTCCACTACACTTGCAAGCAAGTCATTTATCTTTAAGTTAGCAAGCAAGAAATGGGAAATAAAAGAAATACGTTTTATTTAAAGCAGTGTTTGTGGCTAGGCATGAGGAGGGAAATGGGCACTGCCTACACTGATTTCATTTTCATTCCACTGCACTGACAGCGGATCAATTTATCTTTTTTGGAGTCCCACGTTCATCCCTCATCTCTCTGATTCCCTTATGTTTCTCTTGGTGCTTTCCCTCCACCGCTCCTGCCATATCAGTGTTCTTAAATTTTTATGAGAACAAACTGAATCCAGGATAAGGGATTCCTTCTGGTATCAAAAGCCCCTAGACATCTTTTTCCTCTCTGAGGGAACTGGCATAGGATAAATAAGCCATAATTTCATGGTGTAAACTAGATGGGAACCTCTTTTTTCTCCATCCAAATGGGACAAACAATAAAGAAAATGTTCTACTTCCATCACCTATTCTTCTTTAATATGGAGATATATGATTCTACCATTTATCAATGCAACCTGTGATGTAATAATGAAACAAAATAGGAATGAGCTATAAATGTCCTCAGAAACCAAAGAAATTGGTTTTTTGAACAAATTCCATTTACTTGCCTTTAAAATGTTATACAACACCCACTTTAAAGACTCGGTAAGAAAAGCTATTGCATTACCAACATGGAGGGGTAAAAATGGGTTCAATGCATTTACTATCATCAGAGTAAATCTCTGATTTCCCAAGATCTGCTCTAAATATACCTGATTCGTGTTTCCAAATCAAACGGCATTTTCTTGTAGCCTAATGTTTTAAAATTGCTTGTTTCCTGCTATTTAAACTTTTAAGGACTGGTTTACCTACAGTGGATAAATTATTCACCCACTACTGTTTATTCAATGAATATCCAAAAGTAAGAATGTGCCTCTAGCTTTGCCATAATGCCCTCTGCTTCATTTAACATAGTAGACAATATACGATAATCACTGATTTTCTTATCTGTCCCTAACCAGCCAACTGTGAGCTGGGAAACATCTACTATATCCCAAGAGTCTAGCAAAGGACAAGAATATGATGAGCTCTTCATAAATATTTTTGTGATGGAATGAATAAAGAAGAACTTTACAAAACTTTGAGACTCTCTTTTGTATTTTTCACAGACATATTTTCAGTGGCACCAGAGAAATGAAACCATATAAAAAATATAACTTATAATTTTTATCCTATATAAAGGATAAGTTATTTCAAAGAAGCTTATATAATTGAGCTATTAAACTAGTTATTATGGTATAAGCTAAAATAAACAATGAAATATTTACTCAAAAAGGATTATGCCAATTAGGAAAATCCCTTGAAATTATGCTACCTGAAAACTAATAGTATGACAAGATAAACAAACTTGGCAGCAAAGAAACTTTTCCTCTCTATAAAATTACTTCACCCAAGTCTTTTCATGTTCAACCACTTCAGCAAATTTTTTTCTGGCCCAGCTGACTTATTATGCATGTGTAGTACAGTTTATCTCTAAAATATAATATGGCAAAAATACACTAAAATCCCAGAAGTGTCTAGAATAAAGATGATACGTATGCCCCCACAAAGGCCCCCAATCATAAAGACACACATTGCTTTCCTATTTTTATCTTCCTCAGATCATGATGAATTAAATCATCAATAATCCAAAAGTAAATGCAAGATTTAAACTTTAGGCTTATGCACAAGCATTTTAAAAAAACCAATAGAAATGTGAATGTTGTTTGTGAAAAGAATAGAGATCAAACTTAAATTTAAACCATTAAATTGTAGTAAGGTGACCTACCAAGAAAAAGAAATTCCAAATTAGGCAGTTACTTACAATGTGTCTGTAACACTCAGCTTCTGTTTTAATTGTCCTTGAATGCCTAGCCCACCCTATCAAGGGGAACCTTTATAGAAATCTAATTTTAGTGTGTGTCAATACATGGAAAAACAGAAGTACACCAAACTAGCATCAATTTCAGAATGGACTTTTCAGGCCTCAGATTTGAATATTTTGGCTTTGATGGATATAATTCATGACCTGACATGGTTTAAACCTAGCAAGCCAGGTTTCTTCCTCTGATGATACTCGTGGGCCATTTACACTGCATGTCAGTATGCAAAAATCCAAGTGACTGGTGTTAATTAGACAAAAGCCAAGCAATGACAATTACTAAAACTGGGCTGCTTGCCCTATACACACTTCTAGTAAGAAAATTGATGAGGAAATGTGTGTGAGACAAGTGGCAAAAAGAAGCCTGAGCGAAACAAATTCCCAAAACAATCTTTGAAAGTCAAAGCTGGGATTTTTTTTTAACATTTACAGTCTGATATGTAATCAAATAGCTTAGGTGTTAATTTTATGTTACATCTTTTTTTCTTTTAAAATTAATCCCATAAAAGAGAACAGCTGCTAAAAGCTAGTTTCATCCAAGATTTAAGAAGTTTCAAATGAAAAAAAGTGTTCGTCTGCAAGCAAATAAAATTTCCTAAAAAAATCTCCTAAAATGATACACAACTTCTCTTAATTGTGATCTCAGAGCAGTTTCCCCTGTTGCTAATGTTACTATAAATATAGTGTTGAATTCTGAAAATAAATCTCTACGGTCAGTTTGGTGATTCAGTGTGTTCTGCTAGATGATCCATTTAATTGTAATGATTCCCCAAATCCAAACAGTTTTAGAACATCATAAACATAACCTAAATTCTTTAACCAGGAGAAGTCTTAATGATGTGAGAAAGGACATTCACTCATTCATTCACACACTCTCCCAATCAATGGGAAATCTAGACCATACTCCTATCACTGCCCAACCCTCAAGTCTCACCCCTATGCCTCATTTTCTTAGTAGAAGTCCTAAGGTTAATTAAAGGAAAATAAGAAAAGGCTCCCTAACTCGGGCTTCATTCTCACTAATTAGAGTTCCTGCTCAGTGTCTCCAACCTCCATGCCCCCTTTTCTCACTAGACATGTTAGCTCAAACAATTTTCTGAAATATCTTTGATTTTGTGAGAGATATGAGTGAGATAAAAGTTCTCACAAGGAAGTCACACCAAAAAAAAAAGATCAAAACCTGATAATAGATCTTATATCTTCCTCCAAACTGCAAAAATGTATGCTTAAAGGAAGGAACAAAACATAGAATCATAAAATCAAAGAACTGTAGAGCTTGTAGGTGTAGATAGATATAGATATATAATCATCTAGCTCAGCAGTTCCCGAATAAGAGTCCCAAAGCTACTGCCACTCCTTGTCAAAGTGTTCACCATTTAAGTCAAAATGAAAAAAGTAAGGGCAATGTAGCAAGTTTTGATAAGGCTCAATTTGTTCAATGTGAAGGATTGCCTGTTATTCTGAAAGTGGACTTCCTACGTTTTTCGTGTTAAAATACTTTATTTAATGGAATAATAGTAATAAAGATGATTTTCTTGGGGAAGAGTTACTTGTGATTACTTGACAAACTAAAAGTTTACAAATCTGGATTGGTCCACAATATTTTTTTCTTAATTTTCTGTTGTGTGAATTTCCTAAGCTTGAAAGTTTTATTTAATCCAAACACTATTTTTTTAAATTTTACTTTAAGTTCTGGGATACATGTGCAGAATGTGCAGGTTTGTTACATAGGTATACATGTGCCATGGTGGTTTGCTGCACCTATCAACCCGTCATCTAGGTTTTAAGCCCTGCATGCATTAGGTATTTGTCCTAATGCTATTCCTCCCCTAGCCCCGCGCCCCTCAACAGGCTCCAGTGTGTGATGCTCCCCTCCCTGTGTCCATCTGTTCTCATTGTTCAACTCCCACTTATGAGTGAGAACATGAGGCATTTGGTTTTCTGTTCCTGTCCAAACACTATTATTTTATAGATGAAGCCTGATAAGATAAAGAAATTAGAACAAAGTTACGTGGTCTAGTGAGTGCCAGAATGAAATATAGGATTTGTCTTTTTTGACTACAAGTCAATACTTTTTGTTTTTGAAGGTATAGGTGTCCTTTAAAAATAATAATAATAAAGACTATTTTTTTCTCATGAACATGGAACAGTTGGTGGTTAAGAAAAAGAAAAGACCCTCCAAATATTGGAGTTGTTCTGTCTCTACGCAGTTTGTTAACAATGCCAAATACTTGGAGAACTGAATTGATCATTGTTTTGAGTGGTGCCACAAGAATAAGACCCTTTTCCTTCAACAAACTGGCAAGTTATTTGAGTGAATACACCACATCAAATGCCTGGTTTATAGTTCCATAAAACAAAAATCATATTTTGTGTCGAAGCATAGTGAGTTGCACATGTTACTATCCAGTCAACTTAAGCAAAAAAAACCCCAAACCTAATATTAAAATGAGAATTGGCTTGGCTGTGTTGTCGATTTCACTAAATAGTTCCTCATTTCAAAGTAATTAAACTTATCCTTACAATAGAAAGATTTAACCACGGTGCTCAACATAGAAACATGGCTTAATAAACATTGATTAAAATCACAGAAAGACTGAAAATAATAGAGATCTACAGATATAAAGAATGATTAAATATAGGTAAAATACTTCTGACAAAAGGAAAATACTACCTTTTTTTTCTCTATGAAATAATCCCTTATTTTGTTGGTGTTGTTTGCTATATTTGCATGGTTTCTTTATTCCTAAAACATCAAATTCCAGTTACAACAACAAAATTGCCATTGAAGTCTTGCTTTACAAAAGGCTGTTTGGTAAACAGAACTGTTCATTTGTTTTAATGGCTTTCTTTCTCTAAATTTTTCCTTTCTGGGATACATGTGAAAATACATAAACCTCTGAAGATAAAAATCTAAATCTCTTTAGTGGGCAGTGTTAAAAGAATGGTGGCTATGTGAGAATAAAACTGGGGGGTACAGATTTAAACTGAAGAAATAGAATTTCATTTAGAATTAAGCCCTCAAAAAATAACAATGTTATGTCTACATAACACAAAATAAGGGTTTTTTCAAGTTAAAAAAAAATGAAGCAAATGGCTGTGGGCAATGTTTTTGTCAAAAGAGTTCCACCGAGTTTCATTCTGCTTTTCTTTTTTTAAATTCTTTTTCCATTTGGATTCAAACAATTTGCCCCTTTCTTTTGGTATCCCCAAGAGGAACATTTTGGCTCAAAAGCTCACAGTTGATGATTGACACTCCGGAAGTACAACCTACTGTACATTTAGGATTATGATCACCAGTGGTTCCTGAAAAGTCAAGCCATACCCAATGTCTAGAACGATGTTTGTGACAGAAAGACAAGAGAACATCATTTAAGTATAGTTATCCATTAAGGAGTTCTATAAAATCATACCTAAAGATGGTGTCATAGGCCTCCTTCTGATACAGAAATCTAGGGATGAAAATGAAGGTCTGCAAAGATTCGAAAGGGAAAATAATTTACTGTTTCAGGAGAAAGTTATCCTCAATATAAATTTTCGTTTATGCAGTGACATTCCGCCCCATTTCCTGACTCTAATTTCTCCACAGAACCAGCCCATCTTTCACCATGTCACAAATGGAGCACAGTTCTCTTGTATCTGCTGGAGTCTGAACTTCCCTGCCTAACTCTCGAGCCTTGCTCTGATGACTCCTGTGGACCACTTTTACCAAGAGGAATATTCAGCTCATGTCTGACTTATCACCTGATTTCTCGCCCATGTATCATTCCTTTTTATATCCTTCATGACGTTTTTACCTCTGAGTGAAAGGCCCATTTCTCCTTTGCTGTAAATCCTCCCCATCACCTGCACCTCCCCTCCTCTGGAAATCCTTCCTGTATTCATGGAGGCAATATGTAAATATCAGGGACTATGGTATCAGGGAGACCAAGGTTCTAGTCCTGGCTCTGACACATTTACTTATTTTTGACTCTGTCATTTAACTCCTCTGGGCCTCAAATGCCTCTAAGATTCCTGTCAGTTTTAAATTGATGTTAACCAATAAAAAGTACCTAGTAGGTACTCATTAAACATGAATTATTTTGATTACTACAGCCTCACTACTCACTTTTGTTAGACTTTTTGGTTCCAAGGAAGAAAGTGAATCAACGGGCTGATGCAAATGAGGGGTTATTTAAGGATAAACATGCACAGGAAGTGTTGAACAAACTGGCATCAGGAAGACCAGGAATTATGGTCAATTTTGGTCTCAGAAAGCATAAAACTTTGTAGCAAAGCTGAGCCTTGGGGTTTTCAATAAATATTTTGCCCTGTGACTGAGATGGTCATTCTGTGTCTACTTCTCTGCTGCCATCTCTACCAGCCAGATTCTCCTTTCCACCTCTCTCTCTTTCTCTCTCTCCCTCTCTTTCTCTCTCGCTCCATAATTTCATCTTGCAAGAACCCCATCCATGACAACCCCATCTCTCTATACATCACAACTGCCTTTGACCTTCAATTCCCACAGTTGTCTCGTTCTGTAACTATTTCCTAGTTCAAATTTGCTAAGAGGAAATTGGATAGGCTCCGTTCACATTTTGGCACCAAGCCTTCCCAAGAGTCAGTCACAGCCTACGGATTAGCTTCTTTTGTATCAGGTACCCTTATATAATCCAGCCATTTGTGGAACTGAGATGAGGGGGTAGAGTCAGGATCACCTGGAACAAACATGACCATGAAAAAGCAGCCCCTTCAGAGGCATGACCACCTAAATGGAGTTGTGGGAAGGACAAAGCTCCAGAATGACAGCAAGTAGGTTACTGCCCTTTTCTTAGAACTTAAACAACTTTCATTACCAACAGTTCTAAAGTGTATTCTGTTGGAACACATTCTAAGGAACAACACAAAGTGGAGAGGAGGGTTATGTGTAGTTAATCTGGAAAATTATTCCCTGCCAGGTGATTCTAATAAGCCACTCTGCCATCCATATCCAGGTGGAAAACCACTGCTCAATAGGATCTAATTTATCCTTTAATTAGACATCACTTCTTGTTTACTATTTCAATTTTAGTGTGTTCTCCCAAATTATTACCTTCTTAATTGTAGGCATTGTGCTTTATATAGACACATTTTTGTAACCTTTCTTTTCCCCTTTCCCAAGATCACAGGGAACCACATGAGCACTAAATTAAGACTTTCATTTATAAATATATATAATTTTAGCACTGGAAAGAACTTTGGAAATCTTCGCTCTACTTGTTGATTTTAGAGATAAGAAAAAAGAGTCCAAGATAGTGAAAATGGCTAAATGGCTTCTCCAATATTACACAGCTAATCAGTAACAAAGCTAGGACAAGAGCCTAGGTAGGCTAAGTCCCCAGCCAGGCTTCTGCACCCCCTATATCCACTGTTAACTGATACACAAATGTGGATAACTGAAGTCCTAAAAACGCATTTACAGTTTATCATATAGCTAGCTAGCACTGAGTTTGTGAGGTATTTCTTCCAATACCAAAGTGGTATCTGCAAATCTGTACACATATTGAAAATCAATCAATCATCTCAGTGTTTTCATAAAACACCTGGTACCATTATTCACAGCTGTTATTTCTACAAGTTGTTGCAAACACTGAATTAGCAAATACTGAATCATTGTCCCTGTGGAAAATACAAGTTTAAGTTACTGTGAGCTTCTGGTCGCATTTTTGTCAACCCATCAATACATAACTTTGTTTGATATCTGTTTCTGTTAAAGGCAGCTTATTTAATATATATTGTTCATTAACACTGAACTCATGATCAACAGCAATATAACTCATGCCTGTACAAAGTTTATCTAACACGCTATTTTCTTTATAAAGTATATGGCAGCCTTCTTGCACAGAGAAACACTAGATAGCACTAAAGCACTACATTTGGGGGCCATTTTAAATAGCAATCCTTAAATAATCACCATGAGAAAGAGTCCCTGCAAAATGCAAGAAAATAAGTGGCACTAAATAGACCACAAAAAGAATACCTGTTTACAGCATGAGGGCTGAAACAGGTAGAGCATCTCCTTGTTCGACCTCAGCTGAGAATATTGACTTCAGGTGACTCAAATTTTTTGCCATTCTGTTCATGTCTTTGAGTGACCATGAAAGCACCACAAACATTGATTTGGGGGTTACAAATACATTTTAGCAAATAGAATTTTCAAATAAGAAATCTGTGAAGAATGAGGATTGACTGAACATAAACAGACTGGGTGAATAAACTGTGTCCTATTTTCTCTTTGATACTTTATGATCTCCTATGCATAAGAACTACCATAATAAGCAGTCAACAGTTCCTTTGATGTTAGTGGAATATAGCCTCTAGGACTCTTAGGGGGTGTGTGTGTGTGTGTATGTATGTAGATATATATGTGTATTATCCACAACTAGGCAGAGAGCACCAACACTAAACACTAAACAAAATTATACATTATTTACAAATGGTTATTTACAAATACTGCTACTTTTGTACTTTACAACTATATTAACCTTGCATTTTAATGTATACCTCTATAATGCATTCACAGTAAAGAGTGACTTTTAGAAACAAAACTGAATATATTTAGAACATAATGTATATACATTTTAAGGAATATTCACTAGAGAAAAGGCTTTGAAATGCTTGGTAAAATAAACGCACCTTTACTTTCTGAAAACAACTCACAAATGTCTTCTTCCTTAGATGTATGTAGCATCAAATGCAAGGTGAATTTTGAAAACACTTTCCAGAGCAGAAATGGTGAACAAGTATCCCAAAGGTCAAATATCATGTTTGGTTTTCCCTGAACAGTGTTAACCCACTTTATGTATCTTTTTAAATTTGGAACTAACTGCAAAAAGTTATAAATTGACAGAGCTTACAAAAATTTAATTTCCCAAATTATTTGGAGAAAAATTATCTGTGCACACCATCCCCAATTCTTTCCTAGAAGCCATCAGCTGGCACTGAACAGTGGCTGCCTCTTCTTCAGGGCATTTGCCCCCTTCTGTTATCTCAGTTTCTATCACTTACTACTCATACTGTGTCTGAGTGTCAACTGCCATTTTGCTCTTGTAAAATTAAAAGATAAGCATTTCTATTACTAATGCCTCTATCGAAAATGACATAAAATTGCTGAGAATCACAAGTTTATTTTTCTCTCACCCTGCTCATTCTTATTGTCATTCGAGTTGATGATTCCTTTTCTACACTATGGTAGATACATTTCCCACTAATAAGTTGAAATATCCTTCACTTCGAATCAAAGCTTAATTAATAATCTTACCTATAGCTCTTTACAGTTTACAGAGGCTCATGCATTATTTAATTTGATCCTTCTAATAAAGCTAAGTTGGCTAGAGCAAGTATTTTCACCCTCACTCTACCATGAAATGCAAAACTCGCAATGCTTAAACAGCTTGCCTGAGGCCACACAGCTAGTAACAGACCAAGAAAGGTGAAATCCAATCTTCTGATTTGAAATCCAGAGCTTTACCTAATATACTCTGTCATATAAGCAAAACGGCTGACCCATATTTTATCACATATTGCATTTTTTAAAAATATATCCTTTTTATCAAGGTAAAACTCTGCAGTGATAGAAATTAAGGTGTTGCTTTTATTTTTATATTTCACATAGAAGAGCCAACGCAATTCTGTTACTTGCTACACACACACACACACACACACACACACACACACACACAGTCAACCCTCTGTATCCATAGGTTCTACATCTGAAGATTCAACCAACAGCAAATAAAAAATATTTAGGGAAAAAAATGGATGGTTGCATCTGCACTGAACATGTACAGATTTTTTTCATGCCATTATTCCCTAAACAATACACTGTAACAACTATTTATATAACATTTACATTATTTTAGGTATTTAGGTAATCTAGAGATAACTTAAAATACACAGAAAGTAGGTGTAGATTGTATGCAAATACTGTTCCATTTTATATAAGGTACTTTAGCATCTGCAAATGTTTGTATCTGTGGGGGGTTCCTGGAACAAATCCCCCATGGATATTGAGGGATGGCTGTACGTATATGTATGTACATGCCTCTATGTGTGTATGCATATACACTCCTCATTCCAAACAAGAACTGAAGCAATTTACAAGACTAAAATAATTGAGAAAATCATGTGTAAGGGGAAATAAAAGTAGGGTAGATAAAATAACCCTACAGGTTCAAGCCTCACCTGGAGAATCAAAAAATAAATAAATAATTTTTTAAGCCAGAAGTATTATCAGTACCATAATTAAATGTCATAATTATCAGATGCTTTAGTAGGTACCATATATTTTACTCTGAGCTTCCTAGCAGTCAGTACAAAGAGGGAGACATCATCAGCTATTCAATTCAATTATGTCCAGAAAAAAAAACCATGTTATTGATTTCTAGGAAACATTTTTTTCCCAAGAGTCCTCATAATGTCCCCTTTGGGCAATATAAAGAACCAGATTCTCCACAATATCAAAACAATGAATAAAAAAATAAACAATGGTTCTTATTATCTCTCAGTGCAAGCTGCCAGCATAATGCCAAATCACAGTTCAGTAAAAAGCAATCCTGCAAAGAGCCAAAATAATGTGGTCCAAGTACTCAGAAAATCTGATGGCCAGATTAATAAAAACAGATAGGTGATGATAGATGATAGAGAAAGATAGAGAAAGATAAAGTTACCACCTAAGAAAGTATCTAGAAAAGCACACCTTTGAGGCGTTCCATATGTACCATTTTTTCCATCCAAGTTTTGATTAAGTATTGAGCAGAAAAGAGTTCAAGGTTAAAAATCTCTGACAAGTTCTTGACATGCAAATATTTCATGTTGTTGATTAAAGTCAAATCCATAACTTCTGACGGTCTACTGAAGCAGACCTAGGTTTGATACTAAATATGAAATAAAGAGACCCACTCCCACAGTCCTACAGAGGAAGTCAAGGAAGGACCCGAGGCCAAGGTCAGCAGCACTTCTCTTTTCACCTAAACAGCTGGCCCCTCTATGAGACATCAGAAAGCAACGAAGGCTACAGCACTTGACCTTTCTCCTGAGCTTCAGTCCTGTGTCATCAGCAGTCAGCTGGACATCTCCATCTGACATAATGTCTCCCCTGACATGTGCTTTTCTATTCCTGTATTCTCAGTATTTACTGGTGACCTCCCATCCTACCCATTCATTCAATCCCAAGCCATGGTACACCGTCCAGCTTCCTCTCCTTACCCTTAGCTCTCACCGACTGTGCCCTCTCTCCACGCCTACTTCCACTATGTCGATTCGGGAGAGAATCTCCTCTTGTTTGCCTTCCAGAATCATCCTACCAATGATTTCTCTGCCATTCCTTTCTCATGGGTACCCTCCCCCAGTCCGATAGAGTAACCATTACAAAATGATAATAATAGCACTTATTGATTGAGATTTTACCACCTGCCAGGAATTGCTCTAAGTACTTATTATTTCATATATTCCTCATAACTCTGAAATCGTTCCATTTTTAGACAAGGATATTAAGGCACAAAAAAAAATAACTTTTGACAGATCACTCAGCTGGGACATAATGGAGCCAGGATATAAAAAGGATCAGTTTGAATTCATACACTGCACTCCTAGCAACTGAAAAAGAGAAGCTTCTAACACCTGGGAGTTAGCCTCACACTCACAGCTGGGCCGTGGTGTTCTCTTCTTGGGAAAAACAATCTCAGGGAACATCAGCACCGGCCAAGGTCACTGTGACTGTGATGAACTGAGACCAACACCAAGACCAATTCATAATCGTATCTAAGGACACACACAAACAAGGTCACTGTGCAAATCACAAAAATATCGCACATCACCTTCTCCCAGCTAATATGAGTGACTGTTGCTTTTTACCAATTACAAGGTTATGCCTGCACTTATCTGCCTTCCTTCTAGATACGATGTATTGAGGTACCAATTCACTGTATTCTCCTGTTTACTGATAGACCTTTATCTAGAATGTACCCTCATTTCTTTGGACTCTCCACAAAATCATCCAACCATGATCCAAATCCAGTAAGTATTTTCTAACACCCTCTGAGACACACACACCACACCCCCATTGCTCATACCTTTGTATTTTTCCCTCATTGAAGCACATAGTAAATCCAACATAAACAATTAAAGATGTGTTACTGGTGGTCTTTGGTTAAAGGACATTAACACTGCTGTGCTGTACTGCCTCTAGTCATAATTCTCTTATAATGAGAGCCCTTTGATGGCTATAAATTCCTTACATGGAAAGGTTTTAGCTCATGAGAAGGAAAACCCACTCCCCCAACCTCTTACCTGTGCCTCGTTCTTCAGCCTCATTCCTACATCCTTCCTCCTGCCCCTTCAGCCCTGCCACTCATCTTGAACGTCTTACCACAGCACTGTTTCCCAAATATTTCATACCTTTACGCATGCCATTGTTATCCGTTGAATGTTCCCTGCCCATTCCATCCTATAATTCCCCCCTTCTCTTACTCTTACTCTGCAGGCTGAGATTGGTGTCCCTCTTTCATGTACCTATGGTTTCCACACCTGTTGCTATGTTTAAATGTTTATGTCCCTCCAAAATTTAAACTATATCTCCAATGCAATATTAAGAGGTAGGGCCTTTAAGAAGTAATTGGGAGCCTTCATGAATGGGATTAGTGTCTTTACAAAAGGGCTTAAGGGAGCCAGTTTGGTCTTGTTTGCTATGAGAACACAGCAACAAAGCACCATCTTGGAAGCAGAGAGTGAGCCTTCACCAGACACCGAACCTACCAGTGCCTTTATCTTGGACTTCTCAGCCTCCAGAACTGTGAGAAATAAATTTCTATTATTTCTAAATTACCCAGTCTTTGGTATTGTATTATAGAAGTAGGAACAAACTAAGACATCTGTATTACAATTTTTATCTGCCATATTAAAATTCTCATTTAATTTACCCACTTGTATCTCCCTACCCCACAAGAATACAAACTACAGGCATGCAGAGATTAAACCTTGGTCATCTTTAAGGGGATGCAGTAGAAAAACTATGAATTTTAAGTCAAATGAAGCAGCCTAAATTCACACTTCTGCCACTTAGAAGTTGTATAAAAATAGGCAACTAATTTTAACTTTCTAAGACTGTCTTATCACCTATAAAAATGGAATTATGATACCCTCAGAATTGTTGTGAAAACTAAAAGTTCCTAATATAGTGTCTGATGCTCAGTATATGTTTGGTGAATTTATTAGTACAGGGCATAATAAAAAACACATAAACTCTTCTTTTGATATGTATTAGGCCCAAACATCTTCATCTTTAAAAATTACTCTATTCTACTTTCTCAGGAATTCGGGCTTGTATTAAATGCGGTCCTATATGAGCTACCACAAGATAATCATGTAACTTATACACCAGAACACATTTCTCTGAACAATAATTCCATTTTAAACTTTACACCAAGGAGAGACTACAGAGTCACTTAATCCAATGCACTCTTATTTTTTAAATAGATTAATCATGGCATATTCATATGATGGGATCTTTGCTACCTGCATCAACATGAATAAATTTTAGAGCCATATCAGTGAGTGAAACAAACCAGAAACAAAAGAGCATGTATGGATGATTCCATTTACACAAGATTCAGAAACACACAAAAACTAATTTATGGGGTAAAAGGCAGGACAGCACTTTCCTTTCGGAATGAGGTGGAGTTTGTGACTAAGAGGAACCTGAGAGTGCCATGATGGGTGCTGGTGGTGTTCCATTTCCTGATCTGGGTGGTGGTTATCCGGGTGTTTTCGTCTTGTAAAAAGTCGCTGGGACATAAGCATATGACTTGAGCACATTTCTGTATGTATATTTCAGTGATCGCCATGAGCATTAGCTATACCCTATGTTGCTTCCAGGCTCTTAGTGATACCTGTTTACAGGCAATGCGCTCATTTTTAAAATGAGAAGGGTGAGGCAGCATAAGTAACTACCCCAAAGTCATATAACAAATCCATGATGCAGAATTAAAACCTTCAAGTACTGATTTTCTTGCCAAAGCTCTTGATTTATGTGTATAATGCTATTCCAAGTAAATATATCAGTGTCTTTTCAAGGAAAAATTTCCTTGGATTTGTGCATTCAGAAGCTGGAATAGAATATATTCAATGACAAGCTACCCCTTTGGCCACATCCCAGCTATTATGCTGGCGGCTGGCAGAACATCCTCTGAATCTATGAAAATTTGCGAATCAAGGCCAGGCCTCAATCCGCAGCTGGCACAACACATTTCTGTTTGAAATGGAATTTAGTTGTGTTTTTCTCCCCCAGCTAAATTACATAAAAAGGGGGAAAAAATCATTGAGCATCCTTTTAAAGTAACCATAATTCCAAGGCCACACAATGTAATTAAAATGCTGCAGAAAATCAAGCTACATGGCAATAATGCTGTATTGCCAGCTCTCCTTTCCCATCAGTACCAACAGGCTGATCAAAGTGAATTAGGGACAAGAGGGCATCAGGCAGTCCTGCCTAACTGGAGGACCCAAGGCTAAACCAAAAGACACCCAGGCGTCCTGGCAGCCTCAACCACCAGTCCTGGGCTCCTGTGGCCAACCACATTTTCCAGCAGCTCTGCCCATATGCCTCTGAGAGGCCTTGATTTGCAGATCATCTGCTCAGGTACAGAGAGAAAGTGCATACCATAATTTTACAGCTACATGTCTTAATATCCTGCAGCACTTTACTGTTTTAAGTATTTAGATGGCAATAAGGCTAGAGCTATGCATAACTAGATGCTGATTAAAATGCACAAGAAATCATGAGTTATGGCACAGATGGCTGCTTGAAAAAAAAATCTAAAGTATATATGGACTTACAAAATCTAAACTACTTGTTCCATAAAATATTGCCACCTTGAGGAACTTGTATAAGACCTATCGGTTTGGTTTTTTTCTTACAAAATTAGCAAAAAGCAATCCTTAGTTATCACTTTAAAATACTTCCTAATCTCACCAGAGTCTAAAGTAAAAGTTTATCTTCCTCACCTAAATTATGCAAAGGGTTTGAGGCAAGTAGCTGAGAAAAACTAGAAATGAGTCCATTTGTTTTAAAAACATAAAGGATACCACTTTCCTTTAAATTGAACAAAAAATATTATTTTAAAAAGCTAAGGGTTAAAATACTCTGAATAAATGTTAAGAAATCATCCTAATGTAAGTTATACAGATATATCTGCCTAAACAATTTATTTTTAACTAGGTAGCAATAAGTTAATTTGGTAAATTTGCAATTAAAACATGAATTATATTAAAAGGTATTTGTGGTTCAGTGAGTGCAAACTTGCCATCTAACCATCTGAACATTAGTCCTAAATGCAGTGTTTTTAAAAATGTTTTGTAAGTGTAACCACATTTCCAAATTTCAATTCCTAATTCTAACATTTAATCAGGGAAGCTAATTCAGAATGAAAAAAAGACATAATGCCAAACATTAAACAAAACATTAAAATCACAGTCACCATTCATCTTCACTTTTTAAAACTCTGATTTTTTTTTTATCCACTTGCCACAATTCAATATAAACTTCACCTGTGACTCTTGGTAGGTCCAAAGGGAGGCACTCCACATAACTACAAACTGTAGATATATCAAACCCAAAACTATCATTTCAGTGTTTCCTACCATTTTTCCTTCAGTGACACTGGTTTGAAACAGTAGCAATTTTATGCAAATAAAATTAATTCATATCTATGTACGGTGTCTACAGTAAATGCTGCCATAGTGGATAATGTCTATAATGAAAATATTATATATGAATGGTTCATTCTCAGTTTATTTAATTTTCAAAATTAACCAGAAATCCAGAGTAACAGATTGCAAGTTTGCATTTATAAGGTTTCTTTTCTTTTTTTAAAAAAAAAGAAGGAAGGAAGGGAGGGAGGGAGGGAGGAAGGGAGGAGATAGAAAAGAAAGAAAGAAAAGAAAAGAAAAGAGAAAGAGAGAGGAAAAAAAAAGAAAAGGACAAAAGAAATGACAAGACAAGACCTGGTGTCTGCTGTTCTGGTACACTCAATTCAGCTCACATGTGATAAAACAGATATTTTTGTCAAGAACTGCTAAGGGTCTGAGATTTTACATTGCTTGCAAGTTAAGAGTTTAGCCTGTCACAGTCTCACAGAGGCTGACAAAAGACATGAGACCCCTGGGTCAGAAACATAACTTTATTATCCATAGAAGAGCAGGCAGCATGAGCTTCATTTACATATAGGCTTTCCTTGCTCCCAGGTCCTGTGGGAGTGATGCAAAGCAAACGGACGCTGCACACACACTGGATCTGAGGAATTCCAAGCTTGAAAAATCCTCAGCATTATAAAGTGAACTGTAAGGAAACTTGCCCAATCTTTGTTTCTGAAAGAGTTTGTCCTGATCAGGGAAGAAATCTGCCCTCTTCCCCAGAGGGAGACAATATCTCTAGCTTTGAAAGTTATTTACTGTGTCTCAACTATGCAAACATCCTTAAAAGATAATCCAGAATTGAACAAAAGCTTTCACAAGACTTGTAGAAAACCTTAGAGAACTGTCCCTCAAAGTTTTGTGCTATATGTTCCATACTTTGTTAAGATTACTTATTCTAAAAGCTTCTACACTTTGCTTAAAAATAAAGATGTTCTAGCAGAACATTTTTTCCATGATAAAACAGTGCAGAGTTTGGTGTCAACAAACAGAAAAAATATATATAAAAATTATAACGCCCTTTTAATGACAATTAATTTCAGTACAATAATATATTTTGGGCTATATCTTATACTATCACAGTTATATCACATTTGCATAACAGAACGCTTTTAAAAACACTCATTGGAATATTTAAGAAGTATTAAAAATATTTTCGAATGTTTTAATTTAAATAGAAGGCCAAAAGGAAAAGAAAAAACACTTGTATTAATATGTGGTCAAATATTTAAAAACTTGTATAAATATAAATATAAAAAAACTTGTATGAATATTTGGTCTATCAGGTGTTCTACAATGCCAATAAAGTCTGAAATTTTTTAAAAAATCCATCAATACGCTGAAACTAGCCAAATATTTTAGTTTTAGGAAAACAGTAAAATTATTTATCTGGCCCAGTTGTTTGAGACTATAAATATTGCCCACAATAATGAAATCATAAACCTAATAACTATAAAAAATTTTAATGTTTATATTCTAACCAAATAAAGGCTTATATCACATGAGTAAAAATATTTCAAATGGCTAAAAACCAAGAGCATAAGAGGAGGGAAGGGAGGGAGAGAGGAAGGAAGACTTCCTTTAAAAGTTTTCAAAAATGTTAAGAAAAGTTTTGCTTCAAGACCCTCAAAAACTAGATGTTTGTTGATGTATATTGGCAGAGATGCAGTAAGAAAGAGGGAGGAAGGGGAAAAATAGTGGAGGTATAGGTCACTACTTTATTACTTACTAGAATTCCTGGACCAAATACTTTTTTATAATCTACGAAGCTGATGTTTATCTCATTTTTTTAAGTGGCATAACCTTAAAAAGTGGAACTATAACCTTTGTAACATTTTATTAAGGTTTGAGAGAATAATATAGCCCAATGAAATCTGGTAAATTCGTGACCTCCCGGAAAATGTGTTCATATTCTCTGAGTGAAGTAACGGGAAATGGTGGTAGGCTACCAATATTACCTTTTTAACACCCACCACATTGTTACATAATAACCGAAGTATCATTTGTTGCATTATTTATTTATTTTTATTATTTTTAAAACAATTGCTGAGTGCTCTTGGACCATAATTAATAGCAAGCTGGAGAAGGTCTGGTCATTACTTTACAGGAAATGTCTGACCTAAAGGTCATCATATTTATTATAAGTTGTTCTAACCTCCTATATATAGAAAATAAAAAGCGATTCCTGTTATTTGTTGAACAATTGTACATAATCATAAAGTTGATGCTCTGTGAACAATACCAATACATTTAGCTGGTAGATAAATAGAGCATAAGGGACGACACTGAAAAGTCATCATGCTGCATAATGGGCAGCAATACAGGAAATCAGCAAGGTGAGGTAACTGACTATGGCCTTTGAGGGCGGTCCTGATTTTACTAGCTGTGTGACCCTGGACAAGCTCCTTTCGCTTTGCATGCCTGTAAACGGTGATAACAGTACCTACTTCTCAGGGTTTTTGTGAGGATTAAGCAAGATGTATTTTAAGTGTCTATAACATATGTGGCAGAAACTCAGCAAGTGTTTGTTCACTTTGCTTCCACTTCTCTCTACATCTTTGCTACAATCCAGACATTGAAATTTACGTAATAGTCTTAATGAAGAAAATACGAATAAAAAAAAGAAGAGTAAGAAAAGATTCCTTTCTGGAAGGAAAGTACTAAATGATTTGAAGCTATTATAGCAGACAGCTAAATAATGAGTTTCATTCTCCCCCATATGTTATAGGAAGAATTTATATTGCCCCTCAATTGCCCATTTTGCCTGTTTTTTCTCCAGTTTCTGCATTACTGGATATCCACCAAAATGTACTGACTCAACTATGACACTCCAAATTGGCCAATATAATGGACAAAACAGGATTAATACTGTCATTATTATCATTCTCATCATACAGATTAACTGAGTTTCTCCCTGACAGTAGGTAAAGCTATTTAGTTAGTATCCCATTAAAGTATCATTTGTTTCATGAATAGTCAGCAATATTTACTGAATGGCAAGTGAAAAACAATCTCTTCCTTTTGCTGGATTTTCAACAATGTTAATGTGCTGATTCCATCCATGAAGACTGCACCACTAGCCCTAGCTGCTCTAAGTTATGAATGAAGCCTGCATCTGTAGACTCATTAGCAACATCTTTACTCAGCTGCCCATAGACGACCATAATTATAGACACATACACTGATATGTTCATACATGTACAGATGTTGGATAAATCTGGGTGTCATTAGTAATGAAGTCCAATAACAGGTTTCCAGAACCTGTTTAAAAATAGCTAATTGATACAGATGACTTTCTAGAAAAGACAAAACAGTGGGAAAAGAAAAAAAAAATCAGTGGTTGCCAAGGCCTGGAGCTGGGGTAAGGGACTGACCACAAAGAGACATAAAGGAACATTTTGGAGTGATGGTAATGTTCTATATCTTGATTGTGGTGGTGGTTAATGACTATATGCATTTGTCAAAATCCTTAGAACTATATACCTAAGAAGGGTAAATATTATTGTATATAACGTATACACCAATAACCTGGCTTTAATAAAAACTAATTGGAAAAGGAAAAAGAAAGTAGAGGGGCCAGAGTGACAAAATATGCTCTGATTTTTTCTCCAATAATACTCCATGAAGCTCAAATGCAGAGTTGTCAGAAATCTTTAAAAAAAATTGTGACATTCTATACATGAATAAATTCTTGATTCAATACCATTAGAGGTCGGAATAAGCTGAAATTGGTATTGATTAGGGACTGTCAAATTTCCACTCCACATGCTAAGGAAGGAAATAGATCCACGAGGGAAGCAAAAACTTCATTTTAATTAGGAATTTAAATGGCTGCCTTCTCGCCAATATTTTTTTTCTTCAGAGTTACAAGTTAAAAATATACTCATATAAATATATAATCAAAATTATTATAATAATAATTGACAAAACATTTCCAATTCCTAGTGCAGCTCTACATTTATGTGAACATTTCATATTTCATAGCATTTTCACACTTATTGCTTTATTCTATTTAACTGAAATGCAATTAATACATTATGTAGAAATATAGTGTTTCAAAGTTACAGAACACTTTTATGTATATTATCCCATTCAATTATCACAAAAATAAACGCAGTCAAGATTTTTAAGTAAGTGAAAAGCAATCAGCAATGGTTGAACGGCTTGCCCATAGGCACAGGCCAAAGGCTCTGAATTTAGACAGGAGACTTGAATTCAGGTTTACCGACTTATAATAATACAAGCTAGACTTAGCTATTGGCACATATTAAGGCACTTAATTTTCACAACAACCCTATGAGGTGGATACTATTATTGTCTCCCTTTAACAGGTGAAGAAAGTCAGACATAGAGGGGTTATGTAACTTGTACAAGATCACACAGCTAGAAAATCCAAACACAGGCAATAGGGCTCCAGACTCCATGGCCCAGCACCACGAACTATGGTGTGTCATAGCATCTTCCATTATTCTTGTGCTGGACATACGGCCCAGTCTCACCAATGTACACCCACTCTTCATTAGTTTTAATGGAAACAAATTGCATTAACAAGCAACAAAATAGAATGATCAGCGTTTCACTGTTTTGTTTTAAATAGGGCTTCAGATCTAACAGAGAAAATAAAATGTTCTTCGCCTCACCTCTACCCCTTGACTCCTGACTCTGACCGGTTTCCTAATCTGTTTAAACTTCATGGTGCATAGCATAGTATCAACCATTCTATTACAAGCATTCAACTTCCTGATTTTCCTGTCTTTCCTCTGCATCCTCTGCAGTATCAAAAAACTCCATCTTCTTTTTTTTATTTTTCTGCTACATCCTGGCCACAAAGAGCAACTGAAAGGAAAAAAAAAACACACCCTTTTATATTTTTTTCTTCTCTGCATCTCTCAACACATAAACTTCTCTTGCACTTAATTGAGGAAGTTGAACTATCAAATATGAACCCTTCAACTGTCTCCAAGTATAGTAATATACTTCTTATCTGCATCATATTGGACCATCTCATCTCTTTTTGAGGAAAAGCTGTTTTTCCTCCTTTCCAGTTATTCCCCAATTGTGCTTTTTACCCCAGCCCCTCTCATCTCTCTGGGGACCCTCTTTCATCATTGATCTCACCTTTCCAGTAGTTTCAAAATCTCCCTTTCCACTGCTTTTTCTATTCAGCACATAACACATGCAAAAATTTTTAAAAATCCTTCCCTTAATTGTGTCTGACTACCTCTCTTTCTCACACTTTCTCTTCACAAACAGCTTGAAAGAGTAGACGATCTCTCTCTCTCCTTTTCACCTCTTCTTTGTTTCTCAAACAAATACCATCTGCCTTCTACCTCAAAAATGACTTTTAAAGGCTCACCAACTCAAACTCAGTGTACTAGCTGCTGGGGACTGGAAACAGAGGGAGTAGCAAGAAGAAACTTCTGGGGGCGATGGAAACTGTCTTGATTGTAGCCATGGTTTTGCATCTGTCAATACCCAGTGAATTGTTCATTTTAAAAGGGTGCCATCCCGTACATAAATTATACCTCAAAAAAGTTAATTAAAAAATAAACTCAAAGTGACAAGAGTTCTAACATTAAAAAAAGAACAAAGAAATGAACTTGAAGTGGATTAGAGTTATCAAAAGGTGAAGTCAGATAAATTATGCAACTAGGCACTAAATTGAGATGGGAGTTTCTTCTCAACTAAGTCAGAAAGGGAATAATACTGGATTAGAGAAGTTTCTTCATGGTATAACTTCATATCATACCATGATCACTTAGTCTTTACTTGTGAGATTTTAGGTAGCATAACAGTTTTGAAAAATAGATAGAAACAATACTTAATTGGACATTTATATATCATCTTCTATTTTAAAAAATGAGTGTATAACATTAAATTATTACACAATAAAAGCATTTTTACAGCTACTGATATAACCTGGA